>NC_000012.12:71399521-71551037 GCF_000001405.40 Homo sapiens | reverse complement strand
CAAATGGAGCCACAAATGTTTAGAAAATTCAACACCATCTCTCTTTCCTTTCTCTAGCAACAATGTGCCTGGCTTATGCTCAAATAAGGTATAATTTCATCAGGAGATAAAGAGGTGATTGCTTTTGTTTGACTAGAAGTAAAGCACACATGTAAACTCTCCTTAACTATTGCACTGATTAAAGGATAGAGACTTAATAATATGAGCTTCTATGTTTTTGTTGATATGTTGACTGATCATTGCCAGTCGTTTATGCATTGAAAGTATGAGTGGTGGCTGGGCCCGTTGGCTCACACCTGTAATCCCAGCACTTTGAAAAGCTGAGGGGGGCAGATCACCTGAGGTCAGGAGTTCCAGACCAGCCTGGCCAACATGGAGAAACCCCATTTCTATAAAAAATACAAAAAAAATTAGCTGGGTGTGGTGATGCACATCTGTAGTCCCAGCTACTTGGGAGGCTGAGGCAGGAGAATCGCTTGAACCCAGGAGGCAGACGCTGCAGTGAGCCGAGATCATGCCACTGCACTCCAGCCTGGCCAACAGAGTGAGACTCTGTCTTAAAAAAAAAAAAAAAAAGAAAGTATGAGTGGTTTCTAAAAGTCTTGGGCTGCGCGCAGTGGTTCATGCCTGTAATCCCAGAACTTAGGGAGACAGAGGTCAGGAGATCAAGACCAGCCCAGCCAACACGGTGAAACCCCATCTCTACCAAAAATACAAAAATTAGGTGGGTGTGGTGGTGCATGCCTGTAATCCCAGCTACTTGGGAGGCTGAGGCACGAGAATTGCTTGAACCCAGGAGGTGGAGGTTGCAGTGAGCCGAGATCTTGCCACTGTATTCCAGCCTGGCCAACAGAAAATAAAAAAAAAATAAAAAAATAAAAGTCTTGAAAATGACAAAAAAGTTCATTGCAAACACTGGGATGCATTTATGGAAAAGGCTCTTTCAGCATGAAGTCATAGGATTGTCTTCTTTGGTATTTTATGTTCCTACCAAAGTTTCTGCTGTATCTTGAAGTGACCCAGGTATCAGTTCCCAACGTTAATATAGCCATTTCTCTGGACAAATATCTTTTATGAATCACGTTTCTTTTCCCCCCAGAAAAAAGGATATAATCTGGCCTCCACACTATTATCTTATACCAATTTGCTATCTGAAATGAAATGAGTAAGACAGGAGAATTCTTCAGAGATCGAACACTCTAAATACTAATATTCCCAGATTTAATGCTCAACAGCATAGACCTTCAGATGTCCTGAGTGAAGCATTAACACATCTCTCTACTAAACAGTTTCTTCATATAAGAAGCTCTCAATAAATGATACTCCTTCTAAATGCAGTGTTTTAGAGTTCATATCCACCTGGCCTCAGTGGTCTAAACCTAATTCAGGTATATTGTTCACACTCAAAGGCATTATCTGATTTAATTTCCTCCTCCAGCTTTGTTAAGGAATAATTGACAAATAAAAATTGCATATATTTATGGTGTACAATGTGATGTTTTGATATATGTATACATTGTAAAATGATTAAATCAAGCTAATTAACATATCCATCACCTCACATACTTAACATTTTTTTGTGGTGACAACATTTAAGATCTAATCTATTAGCAATTTTCAAGTATACAATATATTATTATTAACTGTAGTCACCATGCCATACAATGGCTCTTCAGAAGTTATTCATCCTGTCTAACTGAAGCTTTGTACCCCTTCTCCAACATCTCCCCACTCAACCACTCCCACTCCCAGCCCCTGGCGACCACTATTCTACACTCTGCTTCTATATGTGATTTACTCTTAACAGAAGACCCCAAGGGTAAACAGGAGTATAGAATTAACTATCCAGTCACTCACACAGGTGGTTCTTCCACAACAAGGTTAAGACTGTGGACAAAGCAGCTGACAGGGCAGAAGCTGTGTCCATTCAGCAAGTAAACAAAGAGTTCATATTACGTCAATCTGGTCTTTTCAGGCAGCTGAACATTCTCTATTCATATGCTTGAAAAATGCAATATTTTAACAGTCGGGTATAAGATAAACATCACTATCTGGTACAAGAAGACATACACATATAAAATATGGTTCCATAATAGACTTATTATCAGTAGCAACAAAAATAACTACACTATATAGTTCTGCTTTTAAGTATGTCTTTGTTATTTCCATTTTGTGCAAGTCACAGAGGGTGTGTGTGTGTGTGTGTGTGTGTGTGTGTGTGTAGGCACCTTAGAATCCATAAATTAGTGCAGAGATTTGGAATGGGAAGTACCAGGTTCCAGCCAATTCTAGAAGCTGTATGACCTTGGCCAAATCAACAGACCTCAGCTTTCACATCTGTAAAACAGGGATAACTCCCATCTTATAGGGTTGCTTTCTGATTAAGGAAATAACACAACAGGACTTTGTAAATCTAAAGTACCTTAATGATTTTAAATATTATTATGTGAAGCTGGTTAACACTTTGTATTTTTGTCTTTTGACCATTGAAACCATTCAGAAAAATAAAGGTAAATTCAAATTTTGCTTAAGCAAAAGTGGCCAAAATGAGTGCTGGATTGTCAGTGAATTTCAGTTCTGAGAAATGCAGGCTATTTCTTTCAACCCTCATAATAGAAATAACTTAGAGGTGCCTGCAATTAGACTTATAGAAGTCACCCTTATTTTTTCAGCCTTTACTATTATTGCTATGCATGTGTATATGTATCTACGCACACACACACACACACACACACAGTGCAACAAGGCAAATAGTTTTGTTCCTGATACACCACTGATTATAATATCTGCATTTTGAAGGTCAAAGAAGTGATGGCATTTTCAGAGAAAGTTTCTAGCAATGATCTTGGCATCTTGGCCATTTACGCATCCATTGAAATTGTGACAGAGGCAGCCCCAAACCTGTCTGCAGTTATGTGCAGCAAAGTAAAACACTTTCAATAATGAGTGGCCTTGCCTTCATTCAGATAAAAGCTCTTAATTGTGATCTTGAAATGCCATCTGAAAAGTGATCACTATATCGGAAATAGCACCCACTTTATGGTCCTTTTGGGGGGGGTCTGTTACATATAGTTTATAGTATATAGTATATATAATTTATAGGTAAAACAAAAATTTTCCCTACATCTTATGCCATCTACAGCCACCTACATAATTGAGGCCTAGCACTTTGGGAGGCCAAGGCAGGCAGATCACCTGAGGTCAGGAGTTCAAGACCAGCCTGGCAAACATGGGGAAACCCTGTCTCTACTAAAAATACAAAAAAATTAGCTGGGTGTGGTGGCATGCACCTATTACCATGTGGTAAACTGGAAAGTGCACTGAATCAGGAGACTTGAGACACAGATTTAAGTCAAGATACTGTCATTTAATTCCAAGATTTGAGGGCATATTGATATCTCTCTTTGTGGGTCAATGTTCACATGTATAAGGCAGAATCACATGTCACAGAATTGCTTTGGGAATTAAGTGAGAAAATACGAATGTGTTTTGTAAACAGTAAGCATTCTACTGTTTAATGACAGACTTTATTATTTGAGGAAAACCTTCAAATTTAGGAAGTGGTATCATATTTTTCCCTTTAAAAATTTATTTTATTCTTCCTGAAGTTTCTTAACCCTTTGTCATTTCACATCTGTCTATGGGAGATTGCCATTTTCTTGCCATATGGGCTGGTGTTTCTCTATTTACCATACATTCTTTAATCTATGTTCAGCAGCTACACTGCATGTTTTAATTAGTATTATAGCAAGGTTTCCATCACAGAGAAAAGAGGATGCACATCTTCTGTGTTAGGCCAGCAATAGAATAGTTGGTGTCCAAAAGGCTAAAATGGCTGAGGAAAAATATTATAACACCTGGTGCAAGAACGGAGTTTTTATTAAGTATGAGTCTTTGCAATGTTACTTAGAGGGCTACAACTGATGAGGAAGGGTCATGGTATGACTTTCGGGTGTGTGTTGAAATCACTCCTTCTCTGGAGGGAGGGCTTGAGGTTGAAGACTCCGCAATTACTCAAGAGGCGCTGCTGCTCAAGCTGCTTGGCCAAGGGGACTGTCTCTTACGGTCCCAGTGGTTGCCTCTCCCACCACTGGACCTGGTCAAAACCATCAAGTTCACCCTGAGGGGCCTCAATAACTTTGAGTATCCAAAGTAAGTGGAGTCTGGATGACATCACTCCCAGGTTTCTGGGCTACCTGCCTACAAGAAATGACTTATCCTCTCCCAGCAGTCTTCAAGGTTTGCATGAAAGTGTTTCTCTGAAATGGGGGTGTTGTAGGCTTTCTGACTGGAGGCCCTCATAATACATGTGCTGTAGAAAGGTCACTCTAATAGCAGTGTGTAGGAGGGCCTAGTGGGAAAGTACATTACCAAGGCAGTTGCAGTCATCAGGGTGAGAAAGATCAGTGCCTGAAGGAAGTGTGAAAATGGTGAGGAAGGGCCTACTATGAGAGATGTTAAATATGTGGGCCTGGCAGAACTTGGTGACTCCCCAGATGTGGCCAGAGAGGAAGGTGAGGAAGCTATGGTGATTCAGCATTCTGGCCTGGGCAACTGGATGGATGCGAGAACAGAGATGAATGTCACCCAGTATTAGGTAAAATAAAAATAAAACATAACTCCATGTTCACTGTGAATGCGGTTCTGTCATATCAATGTGTTCTATGTGGCAAAGAGCTAGAAGGTAACAGGCAAACAGTTAATATATATATATATATATTTTGAGACTGAGTCTCACTCTGTCTCCCAGGCTGGAGTGCAGTGGTCCAATCTTGGCTCACTGCAACCTCCACCTCCTGGGTTCAAGCAATTCTCCTGCCTCAGCCTCCTGAGTAGCTGGTATTATAGGTGCATGCCACCACACCCAGCTAATTTTTTTGTATTTTTAGTAGAGACAGGGTTTCCCCATGTTTGCCAGGCTGGTCTTGAACTCCTGACCTCAGGTGATCTGCCTGCCTTGGCCTCCCAAAGTGCTAGGCCTCAAACAATTAATCTTTTATGTTCAGGCAACCCCACCTGCCCCTGCCACCAAATAAAATAAGCTCATTTTCTTTGTGTTTAAAGTTTTCTTCCTAATATTTCTATGTGAAAAGGTTAATAATGCAAATTTTCTCTTTTACAAGAAACATTTTGCCAATCTGCTCCATACTCCCTGAAAAAACTTTCCACTTATAAATGGTGTTATTGTAAAGATTAGAGAATGTATCAGATCATTATTGCTATTGTTGTTCCAGAAAATGGCCCTTTATACATATCTCATATATGACACCTTGTCAATGTATCACACAAATCTGTATCTTTGTTTAAGAATGTCTTTGATGAGCCATTAACTATAAGAAGTAAAGTGTTAGTCAAAAGATAAGCCATTGATCTTGGTTAATTCCATATCTGAGATGACTGTAATAATGTCAATTATTAACATGGATGACTTGGAGAAAAAAAAAAGCCAAAAGTGTGAAGAATCTTGCAGCTGCATAATACAGTTTATAGGGATTCTTGTAATAAACAGAGTTATGAAGCAATGCATTTTTATGACTGATACTGCTATTTTATATTTGGATGAGCATTTTATTTATTTATTTTTTTGAGACAGGGTCTCACTCTGTCACTCACGCTGGAGTGCAGTGGCAGGATCTCAGCTCACTGCAACCTCTGCTCTTGGGTTCAAGTGATTCTTCCATCTCAGCCTCCCCAGCAGAGCAGCTGGGACCACAGGTGTACACCACCATGCCCAGCTAATTTTTTGTATTTTTTGGTAGAGACAGGGTTTCACCATGTTGGCCAGGTTGGTCTCAAACTCCTGATCTCAAGTGATCCTCCCGCCTTGGCCTCCGAAAGTGTTAGGACTACAGGGGTGAGCCACTGTGCCCGGCTGGATGAGCATTATAAAAAGATTTATTTTTATTTTTATTTTTATTTTGTTACTTTTGTAGAGATGGGGTCTTGCCATGTTGCCTAGGCTGGTCTTGAACTCCTGGGCTCAAGCAATCCTCCTGCCTCGGCTTCCCAAAGTGCTGGGTTTACAGGTGTGAGCCACGGCTCCTGGCCTGGATGAGCATTTTAAAAAAATAAGTTTTAAAGAGGTGACCAACCCTCTTAAACAGTACATTGTACATTTTGTGAGACCACTTTGAACAAGTCAGGAAAGCCAAAAAACCACAGCAATATAGTTCATTTATAAATTTTAAGAAATAAAAGCATTCTTGATTATTATTTTACTTTTTCAATAAAGTGAAAATCGTGTGGTTCTGTATCTGCATATATTACAGTTTAACAAAGTACATACATTTTTTGTTGTGATAAAATTTTACTGCATTGAAATTTTATTGCCCTGGAATCAGTGGATCATTGGAGCTAAATTTGTCACAGAACTATTATAATACTATCGGCCTATTATTTAATCTATATGTACTCTTACAGCTTGAATCCATATTGATTTATATTAATTCTTTGCAATAACACCAGGGTCACTTTTGTTGTGGTGGTGGTTTTTTTTTTTTTAATATTTATGGAGACCATAATGTGTGATTCCAAATTAATATCCAGGGAGATATTAAGCCTATCTAGGAAGATATTAAATAACATGATTGCTTATATGGGAAATTTGTGCTTTTGTCTTTCTAATCACCATCTTATTTACTGGTAAACTTAATGAGGCCAGTAGGAAGAAAAATTATTGCTTTAGACTTACCTCTGAAATGGTTAACAAAAAAAAAAAAAAGAAGAAGAAGAAAAAAAAAAAGACGAAGAAAAAAAAAAGACAAAGAAAAAAAAAAAAGAATTTCCCCTTTCTCCCTCTCCAGGTTGGGGAGAGATAAAGTCTACAGGTTCATTGAAGTGCAGTAATTTAGAGACTAATCAGCTGTCTTGACTAGCAGCCAGATGAAATGTCTAAAGGAACCAAACCTCTGTCTCTCTGGCGTCTTTGAGGAGTGCAAGACTCCAATAAGGAATATATTTTAAAGTCAAATCACATTAAAAGTTGCTTGGTGAGCTCAGAGATCACCACTGCTGTGAATACTGTAGCAAGGAGATGATCTACAGCCAATGTAATGTGAGCAATAACTTCTTCAGTTTTATTTTTCTTCATAGAAAACGAAGACCCTTTTTCTATCAGGGGCACTATTAGTCTTCCAGGTATCACCAGGGTTTAAAATCTAGGGGTCATTTTTGAATCTTCCATTGCCTTCCAGCCAATCATTCACTAAGTTCTTTCCATTTATCTTCATCTCCGAGACTTTCCATTTCCACTGTCTAGTTAATTCTCTTATCTCTTCACACCTGCATTACTGCAACAGCCTCTGAGCTGGTCCTTTTGCCTTTGATCTCTTATCTCTTCAATTAATCCTGTAGGCTGCTGCCAGATTAATCTCCCTGAAGTTACGCCTTAAATAATTTCCCTGTTAGAAATCTACAGTTCTTCCACATTATCATTCCTTTTAAACCCTAACTTTCCATTCTGATATTCAAAGCTCTCTACTTACCTTATCTGGCCAAACTTTTACCTCATTTCTCTGTCCCAGTCAAGTCTCTTTTCTGGCTCTTTCCCACAGTACTTCTGGGCCTTTTGTTCATGAGCATCCCCTACCCACTGCCTATCTGAATCTCATTAACCTTCCAAGACTTAATATCATGGTTCTTTCCTGTGTCTTACTCTTGGAATGGGGAGTCCTCAGTTGAGACAATGGGAAAACTAATTCTGGCAGATAGATCAACTCTAAAATCTCTGCAGGAACCACTGGGTCCAACTCCCAGCCCAGGAAAGGCATGTGGGAAAGCCAGGGTACAGAGGTAAGAGTTTGGAGCCAGGGAGATGAATGAATGCAGGTTACAGTTAAACTAGGGGAGATGAACTGATCTTGAGTGGCTGTCTAGCCTATGGCCCTATCACCTTGAATGTGCCCGATCTTGTCTGAGCAGCTGTCTAGATCAACACTTAAGAGTTTGAGGTTTCAGTTCAGTCTGATACGTATGTCCTAGTGCTTTCTTTGTCCTAGCTACTCTACTGGTGCTGAAGATTTAGCAGTAAACCAGGGAGGCATGGTCCCAGCCATTATGGAGCATGTTTTCTAAAGGGTAGTCAGACAAATCAATCATTATAATGAAGTGTTAGGTGAAGAGGAATGCATGGTTGGGGAACCTAAACTAGATTTTACTTTTTTTTTTTCTTTCCATCCAGATCTGGATTTCAAACTATGTGACATCTCTACTTAGTTGTTCCTCCTCAAACACAAGTGCTCAAGACCAAACTCATTATCCTGGAACCACACACTCCCCAAATATGTATAGCCGTCTCCCAGTGTGTCTTGCCCAGTGACTGGCTTCAGTAAGCACATGGCTGTATAAATCAGAAACTTAGAAATTATTCTCCACACTTCTTTCTGCTTCATTCTTCATAGCCAATTCATTACCAAACACTGGTAATTTCATCTCCTAGATATTTCTCGAATCCATCTCCCTTTCTTCATCTCCACCGTCCCTAACCTGATGAAGTTCTCCTTTCTCTCCTAGACTATTGCAATGACACAGATCTGAGTACCCCCACCTGCCAGCCTTAAAACCCTCCAACAGATTCCCATTGCTTTTACAGTAAAGACTGAAATCCTTGACATGTCCCAAATATCTTTCAAGGGGTCTGGCCTCCACCTGCCTCACTAGATGTGCTCTTCTTGCACGTCTCTCCACCTCACTTCTGCTTCAGCTGCACTGACCTTCTGTTTCTTGATATACCAGGCTTCCCCCACCAATATAAGGAGTTGCACACATAGTTCCCTCTGTCTGGAATGTTCTTCTTTCTTGTCTTTGTCTAATCAATCCTTACTTTTGCATTAGCAGTAGGATGCCTTTCACTTTCTCACCTACGGTTTCCTCATCAGAAAAGTGGAGACAGTTTCTACCTCATAGGTAGTGAGGGACCAGACAACTAAATGCACAGAGAAACACTTGAAAAGGCTGACTGGCTCACGCTTTGATATTGTTGCCTTCCCTTCTTTCATTTATTTCTTTCTGTTTTCCAGCATTCCAACTTCCCTTTCTTTTTATAAACATTCACAATTATATGTCTACAGGTATAATATGTGTTTCTGTTAAGCCTTTCCTTCTTTTCATCAGTGCCCATTTTCTGCAGAGGATTCTCTGAGGGAGGTAAGATAATGTGGTGGTGAAATGGTCAGATTCTGGAATCTGGTGGCAAACTAGGGTTCTTATCCCAGACTCACCTCTAGCCTGACTCCGTTACAAATCATGTGACCTTGGGAAGATCAGCTGACCTCTCTGCACTCTTTGCTTCCTCAGTACTAAGGAGGGAATAATCTCAGCACCTACTTCATGAGGTTTCTGTGAGGATAAAGCATGATGATGGAAGTAAAACTGTTTAGTAAATATGGGAGGCTGCTGCTTTGATAACCATGGAAGTGCATTCAATTCCACATTCTGATTTTGTCTTTGCAATATTCACATTCTCTGCTGCTTTCCTTATGTGTCTTTTCACAACTGATCACAGACCGTGTTTATCCTGAAAAGGCAGAAAGACTGTGCCTCACTTATATGGTAGTCATCTCTGTAACCAAGAGTTCAATCTACTTTCCAAAGTTAACCTTCATTTTACACCACAAGCTTTAAAAAAATTTATTTTACTTCTCATTCCATAATACCCATATTCTCTTTATTTCTCTGATATGACTGCCATGCATGCAATTTATCACAGGACTGGCAGGTAACCTGATATAAGAATCTTTCATGCATGGCTATTGCATAAAGTATTCACTTTTCCCTCCTTATATGATTCTGTGGACAATGCTCCAATTTTAGCTCTCTCTTCTTGTAAACATTATGTAGAAGGAGCTTTTCCTGTTAAAATAATTCTCCCCAATGTTCAAATTGGAGAAGAGTCCGGGCAAAACTTTTCCTCCTCATAAGAATTCACTGGGTGCTGATCTGCATATGGTTCCGTGAAGTGAACGCTTCACTGTGCAATAGACAAATGCTTTGGCCTCTAGAACTTCTAAGTTCACCTCCATCCCAATACGTACCTAATACCCTGGCACTTTTGTGAAGAAAGCAAAACAAACTAAAGTCACGGTTCATTTTTATTGTATAGGCTTGTGATTTCTGTTTCTGGAGACTATTTTAGTGGAAGGAATATCACCAATACTAAAACCACTGTTTTTTTAACCCCTTTGATCCTTTAATCTTATTCTTTTGGCTACCTCATCTTCTTTCTTTTGGTCTGCTTACACTTCCTTGTCTTCTGTTACTTCCTTCCCATTCTATATCCCATGTCTGAAGCCCAATAGCCTCCTGGATATTAATGGGAGAAAACTGCTCCTGGTTCTAGGCTTGTCTTACCTCCTGCTCAGCACAGTGAGCCCCATGTCTTCCTCCTCACCCATTCCTCTCACTTATTTTCTCTCTCTTTTTTGACTACTGTAAGGAAAAGATTACCATGCAGAATCCGATGAAGTTATTGACATTTTATAGAGTCCAGGGGTGGGTTCTATAGCCCTGAAGATGATATCATAATAAGATGTATGGGCAGCTGGTGTGCCAGGCAGAAATTATACATTATTCTTGAGTTTTAAAATATAGTCATATTCTGAAGATGAATATTAGTTAATTGGAGAATAGAGACAATAATAAAGATATGTTTAATTCTTCTTTCATTTTCTATTTGCCAACCTATTACCTTTGCGATTATGCAAATTCCACAGTTAGCTTCACTTGTGCACACTTGGAATAAAAACCAACAGGCATTAAATAGTACTCTGGTTATCTGGACAAACATGAATATGCAACTCTCTTTGGTCATCTTGAACTTCACTAGTGACAGTGAGTTGCTTAAAATTCATTAATGACAATCACAAATGAAGCAATTTTTTAAATAGATTGATTTCTTAACTATTAATATAAAAGTGTGAGGGTATGGGAGGGTTAAGTTTTGAGTTTCCATCAAATCACTGTAATCTGATTCTAGTCCTCAAATGTCTATACTCCCAAAAGTTTTTTGGTAAAATACAGCTTACTGTGAATTCTGATTACATTTCCTATTCCCTTCCAAAAAACAGAAAGGAAATTAGGTTATATTTGATTACATTACAAAAAATCTAATTGGTGTCTGGGAAGTCATTGCCATGTCAGAAGCCAAATGTACATACTGTACAGGGGCAGGCTCTGGGCTTCTGGGCTCTGGCTTGTGGGCCTGCACTCTTATTCCTTAGCCCAGCAATTTGTTAGCATCAGAAGAGTTAAAAGAACACAAGTGGCCTGGGTACTGTGGCTCACTCCTGTAATCCCGGCACTTTGGGAGGCCAAGGCAGGCAGATTACTTGAGCTCAGGCATTCGAGACCAGCCTGACCAACATAGTGAAACCCTGTCTCTACAAAAATACAAAAAATTAGCCAGCCGTGGTGGCAGGTGCCTGTAATTCCAGCTACTTAGGAGGCTGAGGCAGAAAAATCGCTTGAACCTGGGAGGTGGAGGTTGCAGCGAGCTGAGATCGCACCACTGTACTCCAGCCTGGGCAACAGAGTGAGACTCCAACTCAAAAAACAAAACAAAACAAAAAAACCACAAGTGTACCTATGTGTTTCCATTATGAACAAAACATCTTTTGTATATGTGGAATAAGTGGAAAATTAACATTCCTTGAAACATGAGCACAATTTGTTTCTTCCTGACAGCAATGTTACCAATTTCAGTGTATCAAATTTCCTAAACTTTATTCAAGGAAGCCAAGTGTATATGGGTGGAGCAAAGAATGCAAATGATCTACGTCAGTCGTTTTCAACCATTTTTGATTTGTAGACCACTTTGTTAGTGTTATAGAACACTAACAATTTTAATTTCTCAAATGCATTTTGCCTACGAATCACCTAGGATTTTGTTAAAATGAAGATTTTTTTAAGTAAGACAGAGCTGAGACCAAGTGTTCTGCATTTCTTAGGCAGTGCTGATGCTGCTGGCCCACAGAACAAATCTGAATAGCAGGGTGATAGAGCATGTGGCCTCTTAACTTTATCTCCCTGGGTTATCAGTGGAATGCATAGGCATGCAAGCTGTTTTCAATTAAACACAAATAAGACAATGCCTGACTTTTATATTTTAAGTATATTATTAGCTCATAGAAGAGTGCAAAGTATGGATTTTGTTATTATTTCAGGTATTTCTTTTCCTTTTTTTCAGAGACACGGTCTTGCTCTATTGCCCGGGCTGGAGTGCAGTGGCAGGATCATAGCTCACTGCAGCCTCAAACTCCTGGGCTCAAATGATCCTCCCACCTCAGCCTCCAGCATAGGTGGGACTACAGTCATGCACATGACGCCCAGCCAATTTTATTTATTTACTTAATTATTTTTAGAGACAGCATCTCACTGCATTACTCAAGCTTGTAATTTCAGGTTTGAAAAGAGTTCTGGAGAATACTTTGCAGATCATCTGAGGGAATGCTCCAGGTCAGGTCAATAGTTTTCCTAATTTTCACTTAGGAAATACTTAACTGTGCAATTAAGCCAGTTAGAAAACACTAGTGCATGCATGAGTCCTATCCTCAGAGAGTGCAGTGGCATGATCAGGGCTCACTGTACCCTCGAATTCTTCTTGAGTTCAAGTGATCCTCCCACCTCAGCCTCATGTGTAGCTGGGATTATAGGCGCAGGCCACCATGCCCAGCTAACTTTTTAATTTTTTATAGAGAGACAGGGGTCTCACTATGTTGTCCAAGCTGGTCTCAAACTCCTGGGTTCAAGTGATCCTCCCACTTCAGCCTCCCAAAACGCTGAGATTACAGGCATGAGCCACCATACCTGGCCAGAGATTCTGATTTTAATTGTTCTAGGCTGCAGTCTAGGCTTTGGGTCTTTCCAGAAGAATCTTATTTGTAGCCAGTGTTGAGAAGGCCTGCTGTAGAAGTTATTCAGTTGGTACAAAAGTAAATGTGGTTTTTGCCATTACTCTTTATACAAGGCCAGGCATGTATAAAGACAATGAGCTCACAGCCCCTATCAAGGGTAGAGTGCTTCTTAAAGAGTGAATGTATAATCCAAGAAAAATAATAACGTGGAGAAAAATAAAGTGAATTCAAGAGAGTGAAAAGAAAAAAAAAGGGAAACCATGTAGAAAAAAAGGCTAAGTGAAGATCTAAGGGTTGACTCCAGTCCAAGAAGAGATGGCAATGGAGTGGAGACTTTCTAGGCATTGGCAGTGTGGATGAGGCAGAGTCCTACTCTCATCATTACTTTATTGATACGGAAGCACAGAGGCTAACGTATGGCCTGGAAAATGAATGGAGAATGGATAAGGAATGCATGTTTGTAATGATCAGTAAATTCAAACTAATGTTTTTATTTTTAGACGTGCTTAAAGGAAGAAGGAGAAGTACAATTAAATACTTTAAAACCAGGACAATAGAACTTTAAAGGGGCACAATATACCCTAAACCTCCAAACTGGCCTTGTGTATGTATGGGTAGGGCACTCCTTTTGTTGGTACAATATGGTATCTGCAGAGTTGGTGGTTCAGCCTATGTTTATCATGCTCTTTTCTTTTTTCTTTTCTTTTCTTTTCTTACTCTGGAGTGGTGCTCTGTAGCTCAGGCTGGAGTGCAGTGGCATGATATAGCTCACTGTAACCTGTAACCTCAAACTCCTGGGCCCAAGTGATCCTCCTGCTTCAGCCTCCCGACTAGCTGGGACTGCGGGCACATGTCACCACACCTAGCTAAGTTTTTTAATTTTTATTTTGTAGAGATGGCAGTGGGGGTGTCTCACTATGTTGCCCAAGCTGATCTCAAACTCCTGGCCTCCAAGTGATCCTCCCACTTTAACCTCCCAACATATCATGCTTTTTTTTTTTTTTTTGACAACTCTTAAGTCTTGCATCAAAGCTGCACAAAAAATATCAGTGAGAAAAAGTGGGACACTGGCACACATTGTCAACATTCAACACTCACACTGGTCTGTCTGTGCTCTGGACAAAGGGGCCCCTGACAAACATTGCATAACCCAGCTGATACAATCCAGTGTGAACTGGGGGCCGAGTATCTATCTAGATCCTTTAGTTTGGATGTGGTCAGTGTCAAACCAGAAAGTTAACCCTTGACCTTTTCACAGGGAACACATAGTTATAAAGTTTCAAAATGTTATTCTTTTTGCAAAACCAGAAACCAAATGTAGAGACACCTGGTGAACAGTGAATATCTAGACTGTAAGAAACTAAATCTGAACACCTTTATCAGGCAGGCACCACCAGTTCCAGTGAACAAAAGATTCATGGTTTTCTTTTTCTCAAAGAGTTCACTTCTGTTTGTGTTCTGTTTGTGATCTTCTTTCAGCTGATAGTGGCTTTTGGTTACAAACTCTTATCCTTCTATCTACTGCCTGCCTTGCAGCTGTTTAAAGTTCCTACTGGCTACCGCCATTATCACCATTTCAATTTTGCCACACAGATACCCCAACTTGAGGCTGTTTTGCTTCTCCAGCTGTTTCTTCTTTCCTTCAGGTAAAGGCTTGTGCAACAAAGGAGAAGTGATACTGTCATGACATTAAGGAGCTCCAGAAAATACAACAGACCTATCTCATACCACAAAGGGGCCCTTGTGGGCTTGTTTATCTATAGGCTGGTGAAAACCTAGGAAGTCACTTTGTTTGACTGGAGTAAAAGGCTTGAAATGATCTCAAGCACAGATTTTCTTTCATTAAAAAGAAAAAAAGATCAAAGGACGAAAGTATCATCTTCAAATCTCACAGTCCTCCTTCTATGTTACCTCGGTAAAACGCATTAAGCAAACTATATGTAATTATTAACCGAAGGATTCTTTACAACAATTTTCAGCTGGAGTCCACAATATTTATCAATATTTATTTGCCCTTTTAATGCATTTATCTTCCTCATCACGAACTACAACCCAGTATTTTGTTTGGCAGATGTGCATCTCCATTGTAAGTAAAATTACAGCATATATCACACGTGTGATATATTGGACATCATGCAGTATATTGTAAACACTTATACATTCTAATGGGAGGAAGATTTACTGACTAAATAGTAGTGGTATAGACTTGCCAAGTAATCACTACAATCAACTGCTTACAATACAAGTTCCAAAACATTTAGCTGGGAGAATGTTCTTTTGTGAGTAATTTTATTTATTCAGAAGTTTTAAATCAGTGTGTGTAGGGGGGTAGGAAACTCCTGATGGAAAAGTTGTGGATTCAGAGTAGGGAACACCAACACCTCTGTGAGTCCATGTGTCTGTGTGTGGTGTGTGAATCTAAGGTATGTTTGTATCTGTGGGATTGTTTATGGCCATGTCTGCACATCTGTGTTCTGTGATGGGGAAGCTTCAGGATATACCAGTAGATCTTAGGCTCCTGACTTGAGGATCCCTAATGTATTATATAGGCAGTACTAAAATAGTAAGCCTTTATTTGACTCGAAAAAACTTGATTACAAGGCAACTCAAATAATCCTAAAACAGAATAAATCAAAGATGTCAAAATGTCTAGATTACAGCATCTATTTTTTTTTTTTAGGTAAAAGGAAAGCACTATTTCTTATTCGAATTCAGAAGCAAGAATATTACAAGGGAATGTAGGACAGGATCTTGGAAGTAGTGCTTTGGACTGGAGATGTTGCAATTAAATGTCCACCCTAAAACCCCAAACTCCAACACTGGTTCCTCCCATACATATTGCTCAATGAGGCTATGAAGAGTTGTTACTCTAATGGGCTCTCATTCACAATACATTTAGGTATGACTCCCAACCAAGGAACATACTAAAATGGTCAACTGAACATTTCAATGCTTCTTCCCAAATTGATCTTAAATATATTTTGCAATGTCTACTATACTTACAGGGATTGAAGGCTTCGCAAATTCTGCAGAGCTTCTGTGGGTACGTGTCTTAGCTGATTATTCTGCAGCATACTGTATGTTAAAAGAAATAAAGAAAAATGTTAAAAAAAATGAACAATAACAGGCCTAAACAAGGCCAGGCACTGTTCCAGGTGTCAGAAAAACAACAGAGCATCAGACAAAGTCTTGTCTTTTGGGGAGCTGAAATTCCTGTGAAGAGTGAAGATAATTAAAGATGAACAAATGAATATATTAACATGAGACAAGTGATAAGTACTATGAATAAAAAACAAAACTATGAATTTGGGATAGATGGTATCAGGGGGTGAGATTTTTATTTTAAAGGTGGTCAGGGAAGGTCTCTCTGAAAGGTGATATTTAACTGGAGACCAGAAGGAATACAGGGAGAAAATCCTTGTGAATATTTGGGAAAAGTTACCAAGGAAAAGAGAAGAGTAAGTACAAGGGCTGGAGGCTGGAGGGAGCTTGCTTGACTTGTTAAAGGAGCAGCAAAGGACCAACTGTTTCTGAGGAATGAGTGAGGACTCGAGGTTGGGAGAGAGAGCCTGAGACCATCTCATGGAGGGCTTTGCCAGCCACCATAAGGCTTTATTTTATGTGTGATGAGAAACCACTGTTGAAGGGCATATGTAGGAAAATGACATGCTCTTATATATGTTTTTTAAAGGATCTGCTACTTGTATAAGTTACACCAAATGGAAATAAGGATAATGGTAGGAGGCTAAAATTGTCTCCCTTCTCTGCATGGCTTTATTTTGATATAAGCTAAATTCTTTTTGTGAAGTATTTGTGTTTTTGCACTTGCACTTGAAAATCTTGAACAGTTTTTCATAATATGGGGACTACAGAATGGAAACGCCTGGAAGCTATGAAATAAAAATATATCATTGCTAATGAGGAAATAGCATGGAAACAAATTCCCATGAGATTCCTTATATTTTGCTACCTTATTCATAAATGTTTATAACACAAGAATTCTGCAGCACATTTTTTTTCTCCCAGTATTTTGTAGTCCATGTAAGCCTGAGGCAGAAGACTATTTTAGGAAAGCAGAAGTTTTAAAGAAATATTTCTACTTATTAAGTTGCAAACTTGTATTTGTGTTTCAGAAACAATCTGCCTGGTTCTTTCATCTCTGCAAAGGAAGTTTCTTTCTGTTCACTACTTGACTAGCTGGAATTCCACCCAGGTGTGTCTAACTCCAAAGCTTGGTGTGTTTTCCAGTGCACCAGGCAGCATTCTCTTGAGGCATATGTGCTGACTGTGTAAATTCTCAGATTGCATGTGAACGGTATGGTTAAGAATATGGATTCTCAAATCTGACCACCTCTTCTCTGCCACTAGAGATTGGAAAATCACCAAATCTCTCTATGCCTCAGCGATCAGTAATAACACCTACCTTGCAGGGCTCATTGTGATGATTCAATGAGTGAAGGTTCATAGAACAATGCTTGCTACATGATAAGCATTCAGTAAAAATTGGCCCTTTTAATGTACATTAATAGGCCCTTTCTCGAAACTAATAATTTTTGTACTGGGTTTGACAATTTAATGAGCCAGAGAAAAAGAAAACTCTATGCCATTGGTTGTCAAACTTTAGGGTTCATCAGAAGCCATTGGAAGGTTTGTTAAAACAGAATGCTGGGCCCCATCCCAAAGTTTCTGGTTTAGTAGGTCTGAGGAAGGGCCAGGAAATTCACACTTGTAACAAGCTCTCAGGTGACGCCAATACTGCTGAGCAGGGCACCACACACTGAGAACTACCCCATGCTGTGCTAAATATTTATGTATTTAGTTATTTAATTATTTATTTATTTATTTTGAGACGGAGTCTCACTCTGTCACCAGGCTGGAGTGCAGTGGCGCAATCTCGGCCCACTGCAACCTCTGCCTCCTGGGTTCAAGCAATTCTTTTGCCTCAGCCTCCCGAGTAGCTGGGACTACAGGCATGCATCACCGTGCCCGGCTAATTTTTGTATTTTTAGTAGAGATGGGGTTTCACCATGTTGGCCAGGCTGGTCTCAAACTCCTGACCTCAAGTGATCCTCCCACCTCAACCTCCCAAAGTTCTGGGATTCTGTAATCCCAGGTGTGAGCCGCCACGCCCAGCCTATGTATTTATTTATTTAGAAACGAAGGGTAGGAGAATCTTGCTTTGTTGCCCAGGACTGGACTCGAACTCCTGAGCTCAAGGGATCCTCCCGCCTCAGCCTTTAGAGTAGCCTGGTCTACAGGTGTGAGTTACTACACCTAGCTATCTAAACATTTCTAATAGGATATTTTCACTTGGGGAAGTGAGAGTGGTTGCATGTACTTATAGTCCTACCTACTCTGGACAAAATGAGACCCTGTCTCAAAAAAAAAAAAAATCTTCATTTGAACTTGAGGAAGAGCTGCACTGGGTTTGCAGACAAGACCTAAGCTTTTAGTCTTGGAGAGGAAACTCATTTAACCTCCTGACCCTTGGTCTTTTATCTGTATAATGGGAATAATATCATCTGGTTGAAAAGGTGTTGGAGGATTAAAATATGAAAGTATTTATAGTACTTTTATGTATATAAATACGTGCTCATATACAAACAAGACTTGAAAAATATTTGGAGATCATAAAAATTATGCCTTTAACACCATGCCTGAGAGTTTTTTCTAAGGAACGTAATTACGTTTGTATTACAATAGTTCTACTCAACTAATTTCATTATGTTAAATTTAGATTCAATTAAAATTTCATAAATCAAGAGTCTCAAATGTATTGGTTCCTTAGGAATAAAGGTGAGTTTTAGGAAGATCCCCACACTTCACTTACCAGTTAGGGAATTAGGAGAATTGAAACTTGAATTCTATGTTTTGCATAATTTATCTGAATATTAAAAGTTTGGATTTCTGTGTTATTTTATTGTTATTTTACATTTTTGTTATTTTACATTTTCCCAAGCAGTTTCAATCCATCATCCAATTTTAAGTTCACAAAAATGTTTTCTAAGTATTTCTTTACTTTTGTGTTACATTTAAATAAGATAAAGATAATAGAATTAATTGATGTCTAAACTTTTTATTAATAAATAATATATTACTGGTACAAGGTATGTATTGCATTGTCCTTTGCCTTACTAACCAAACAGTGGAACTCTTAAAATATGATTTCCCTAAAATATCTGAAAAATTGAGGTGGAAGATGAGAGTTTCAGATAGCTTTTTGTCATTGAATAGTTGCGAACTTTCTCTGCTGCTTTATATATCTTTCTTCAGATAATGGAACTTAAATGAACTTTAGTGATGATAACTTTTTTTTGGAGGGGGGACAGGGTCTCACTCTGTCGCCCACACGGGAGTGCAGTGGTGCGATCTCGGCTCACTGCAACCTCCGCCTCCCGGGTTCAAGCGATTCTCCTGCCTCAGTCTCCTGAGTAGCTGGGATTAGAGGCGTGCGCCACTACCGCCGGCTAATTTTTATATTTTTAGCAGCAACGGGGTTTCACCATGTTGGCCAGGCTTGTCTTGAACTCCTGACCTCAAATGATCTACCCACCTTGGCCTTCCAAAGTGCTGGGATTACAGGCATGAGCCACCGCACCTGACCGATGATAACTTTTAAAGCTACCCCCACGTTACCTCCTAATGATTTAAATTTTCAACTACGTCTACCAGTAAAACACCAAGAATATAACTTAAAAAACAAAAAAACAATTTAAGCCCTGATCACTCCCTAAATAAGGAACTTTTGTTTAATTACTTTCAAATGACAAAACAAGAGCAAGTTATCTTTATTATATCATTATAAGTCTCCAGTGGGTTAATTAGAACATTCTGTTTTTGTTTAAGATATTCCAATGGGAGGGAAAACAATTACAAGGTTTATAGTGCTAGGGGGTGCAATTGAAACAAAACATTTACACATGGCTGCTGATTTCTTTTGAAAATACTCCTTACTGAGTACATGCAATATAAAGATACTGAATATAGGTGTAGGCACTTAAAACTTCATTTTTATCATTCACATATGATTAGGAAAAGCAAATGGAATACTTTCTCTAGAGACAAAAGATGACTTCTATATTTTCTTAATTTCTTTGCCCCAGGAGCTTTAAAATAATCACTATTTCATACAGCATCCCCATGCTACTCTACACAATTTTTTGGTCCCTCCCCCACTTTTTTTTTTTTTTTTTCCCAACAGGACTAAGTAAGAACAGGTACAGTGAAGGAGAGGGAGATTAAATAACCTGCTGAGTGGGAACTTGGTTACAACTGATGGCTCAATTCTTAGGTATTCCCTTGGCCTATTTGTCCTCTGTGTAGATATCAAGTAACCATCAAGGCTCTATTCTGGGTCTACATGAGAACAGGGGAATTCTGCCTAATTGTGACTTTTCTATGGTTAGTTTTACCCATCACCTCCATGTGGCTTTGGTTTTGGTGTTGAGTGGCAGAAGGATGAGCCATTCTTTGATGGAATGGCTTACACTAGAAAATGAACCTTTGTTGAGGACAGCCTGGTTCAGAATTCCACGGACTGGGTATTTTGCCATACAGAACCAATTACTTATTTTTTTTATTAGGGCCAATATTTACAGGAAAAATAACTTTAAATATTAGTGATGTTTTAGCATTCACAGTAAATGTAAAACAGACCTAGCCAAGGATGGCTGCTGCTGTCTTCATTCTCCATCTTAATAGACTGGATCAAGATTATTTTTCTCTTCTTTGTCCATATGCCCTCTTTACCATCCTTACTCAGGTCAGGGCCCCAGACAAATATTACTCTCACATTATCTTTCTCACCATATCACAATACCATTAGTTATTTCTTTTCTCCAACCACTTTTGGACTTTATAAAACAGTTAAGAGAGTTTTCATGAGAGTAGGGGACAGGACTATCTTGTTCAGCATTTTACCTCTAGCACTGTGGTTCTCAACTATATTGGATTCAACGTTCCCTTTAATAACAAATATTTTGTAATGCCACTTCTATTATACTTAAGTAAAATTCATAGAATTATAGCCTATTTACACACATTATTTCAAAGAAAAAATCAATATACTTTATTGTTGTGCCCTAAATGTATTATAAAGAAGAAATATAAGAAAAGTAATTTATAGTAAGATGATGTAAGTGTCATTATATACATGATGCTCATATGCAACTACCTCAGGAAACATTTTTATGAATGAATCAGATGTTTGCTTCTACTTTTTTTTTTTTTTTTTGGAGACAGAATCTCACTCTATTGCACAGGCTGGAGTGCAGTAGCACTACCTTGGCTCACTGCAGCCTCTGCCTCCCAGGTTCAAGAGATTCTTGTGCCTCAGCCTCCCAAGTAGCTGGGATTACAGGGGTGCACCATGACACCTAGCTAATTTTTGTATTTTTAGTAGAGATGAGGTTTCAGCATGTTGGCCAGGTTGGTCTTAAACTCCTGACCTCAGGTGATCTGTCTGTCTCAGCCTTCCAAAGTGCTGGGATTAGAGGTGTGAGCCACCACACCCAGCCATTTGCCTCTACTTTTAAAGAATAAGGTTGGGTGTGAGAAAAATAACGTGATCAAAAGCCATTCTGTATGAGAATGGGAACATGAGAGTAGAGATCTAGATGGATACTAGAATAAAAACTAGTTGAGACACTGATATGGTTTGGCTTTGTGTCCCCACCCAAATTTCATGTCAAATTGTAATCCTCACAGGTCGGGGGAGGGACCTGGTGGGAGGTGATTGAATCATGGGGGCGCTTTCTGCCATGCTGTTCTCATGATAGTGAGTGAGTTCTCACGAGATCTGATGGTTTAAGAGTGTGTGGCAGATCCCCCCTCGCTCTCTCTCTCCTGATGCCATGTAGGACATACCTTGCTGCTTCTGCCATGATTGTAAGTTTCCCGAGGCCTCCCCAGCCATGCAGAACTGTGAGCCAATTAAAGCTCTTTTCTTTATAAATTACCCAGTCTCAGGTAGTTCTTTACAGCAGTGTGAAAATGGACTAATACGATATGTAATAACAGATCATACTTGTTATATATTATAAGGGAAAGAAGGAAATAACCTTTATTAAAATAAATATAACATGCCAATCAAATTACAAACGTCATAGTGGAGAAAATCAGGAAGTGTGACACTCACAATTGAGCATGAATATTCTCCCAAGTGAGTGTTCCTTACAGATGAATAGTGTCAAAATAATTCTCTATGTGTTAGGGTAAGATAGTGTGGAAATATCACAGAGAATATTTATCCTGTCTCAAAATTCCATAACATTCTGAAGCAAGCATTAATTCCCCAGTACTTTAAAAGGCCCTGGAGATCCCTCCATAGGCAACAGAGAATTGAGGCTGAATTGGACAAAGAAATAGTCACAAAACTGCCTTCTCAGAAGTTGGGTGGTAGACTTTGCTAGGCAGTAAAACAGTAAGATTAAAAAAGCAACAAGCTGGCCACCCTCAGATAAATAAATCATTATATAATTATCACAACATAAATTTCATATGATTGTGCTCTAAAAACTTTAAAAGGCAATAATACAAAATATTTATAAAGCAAACTTTGTTGATGAAATTCAATGAGATCCTGTGTTTCTTGTTACTCTGGTAATTTAATGATAGTTATTTTAAAAAGGTTGCACATTTCCATGGCTATATATTTTTAATTTGGTTTGTGGCTTTTGAGGTAATTCTTCTACTGCACTAACACTATTTTATTTTATTTATATATTTTTTGAGACAGGTCTTGCTCTGTTGCCCAGGCTACAGTATAGTGGTGCAATCTTGGCTCACTGTAGCCCCAACCTCCTAGGCTCATGAAATCCTCCCTCCCACCTCAGCCTCCTGAGTAGCTGGGACCACAGGTGTTCGCCACCATGCCAGGCTAATTTTTGTATTTTTTGTAGAGATGGGGTTTTGCCATGCTGCCCAGGCTGGTCTTGAACTCCTGAGCTCAAGTAATTCAGTCACCTCTGCCTCCCAAAGTGCTAGGATTATACAGGCATGAGCCACCGTGCCCAGCTACGAACACGATTTTAAACTAAATGTGTGGCTAGAAATCTTAAAATATCAGGAATAGACAGGATGTATAAACTAAGTTACTTATTTAATTATCTTGAGAGAAACTGTTTATTCCATTTAATTTTTCCTGTGCAAATTATTAAGCATATGCAGAACATCTTATAAAACGTTTCAATACAATTACACATTAAAGTACTGATTTATAGTTGGTATGGAGGGACAGTAAGAAGCCAGAATAAGGGAGAATTCTTTATGCTGGGCTGTGCAGCACATTGCAGGACAGCTTGCTACACGCCAATCATCTGGACAACCAAAGATGCTCCCACAAATTTCCAAAACACTCTGTAACAGGCAGAACCAACATTGCTGAGAAAAATTATTCTAATGCTGTTATGGTTTGAATGTTTTTGTCCTCTCCAAAAATTCATGTTGAAACTTAATCCCCAATGCAATAGTGTTGGGAGGTGGGGACCTTTGGGAGGTGTTGGGTAGAGCCTTTGGGAGATGTTTTAATTAAATTAGCAGAAAAATAAGAAATGGTGATCTCAATGAATTTCCTCAAAAGTTTGCTTTATAAATATTTTGTATTATCGCCTTAAAAATGTTTGGAGTACAATCATATGAAATAGATTAATTCCATCATAAAAAGCCTTGTTGGAAGAAGTTTATTCCTTTTTTGCCTTTCCACCTTCTGCCATAGGAAGACACAGCATTCCTATCCTCCAGAGGATTTGGCTCTCAAGATGCCATCTTGGAAGCAGAAAGCAGCCCTCACCAGATGTCAGCACCTTGATCTTGGACTTCCCAGCCTCCAGAACTGTGAGAAATAAACTTCTCTTCTTTATAAATTACCCAGTTTGCGGTATTCCGTTATCATAGCACAAACAACCTAAGACAAAAACCAAAATACTTTAAAAATATTTGACAATTTGAGTCCATTCATTGAATATTAGTCTTTAGGTCAGCAAAGTAAAAAGAAGAGTGAACACAATTTCTGGCAGGATCTTGTTCCTCTTGAACTCTCCTCACACTGACAGGGACCCAGCTATAGTGCAAAGTCTGAACATGGCCTTCCCTCACTTATGTACATCTTTTCCTTGACTCCTCATCATGCCTCCTCATAATGTCCACCCATGTGACTTAACATATGGGATCCCTGCAACTGGGACTCCTTCTGTCTTTACAAGCTCTTCTCCAAATGCTCTGTAGCTTCTCCTGAATGCTCAAGTACTAACCTGCTTGGAGCTACCTGTTCATCCCAGGTCCTTTCTGACTCTGTGTTGCTGTACGTATTGTCCCCTCAGTCGGCCATCTTATTTGGGTGGCTAATTCCTAGTTGTGCTTCAAGATTCAGCTCCTGGGTCATCTCTGGGAAAGCCTCTCTCCTAGGAAGCCAAATCTGAGCCACCAGATGGGACGACATCAACTCCCCAACCTCTGTAGTTTCACAGTACCCTGCACAGATATCTAGATACACTTTCCACAAAAATCAGAAGTGATCTCTGTTTTTCTGTCTTCGTCCCACTATCTTGGTCCCACAGTCTGTCACTAGATTATAAACTCTTCAAGGGCATGAACAATATTTATTGATCTTTATATTTCTAGTAATAATTTGTTTAATGCTAATTTGAGTATCACACGCACTAGGCTTTGCTGAACCCTTGACTGTACAGGAGACAGGAAACATTGGTTAGTAGGAGTGGATAAAAGAGAGGGTCTAAATACCATTTTTTTTTTTCTGATGGAAAGGGTACATTTTAATAGTTAGCATGAGAAATAATCTATGCTTCTCATTTTTGAATCATATTAATCCACTCCACTCTGGAGTCTTCAGGTAAAATGCACCTTAAGAAGCAGCAAAGTGTGTGCAGGAGCATTCTGGGTAAAAAGCCTCTTTGTAGGTAAAAGTACATATCAGATATGAAGGCACAACTTTTTTGTTTAATACACAATAGATATTCCATTAATAAACATACAGCATTGGGTCAATATCATACAAAAATGAAGAAAAAGTTGAAAAATCTAGAACTCCCTTATTCTCTCTAGATCATCAGCCTGAATCATTAATTCAACAAATATTTATTGAATGTCTACTCTAAGTAAGGAAGTGTTCTAGGAGCTGGGGATATACCAGTGACCAAGACAGATGACATCTCTAATTTCATAGATCTTTAGTGCATTGTGGGAAACAAACATTCTCTAGTAATGCACTAGTGAATACAATTAGAAATATATAATGGTATAACTATTAATATAAAATATAAAAATATGATAGAAAAATTAGTATAAGACTTGTATAATTCATATTTAAGAATTCAAGGATTTAAAATTATAATTATATGTAATTATAATAACTAGCTTATATATAATTCATATATATCCATATTAATTTAAATGTATTCATTTTACTCATTTATAATTAAAGTATAATTTGATGTCTGGAGATACACACACACTGGCTTATATATCCAATATACACTTTGTTAAGTGAATTAAAATACTTGATTCTAGTAAAATTTATTTCACAAGTATCCCAAATACTTAGTGGTACATAGCTCAACATGGGAAAAAAAATCACTTTAGTTGTCTTATCTAAACTTGACTCTCACGATACATTTTGAATGGTTCCAAATTTTTTTGGGGGGTTTGTGAAACTATATGCATCGGAGCTGGTGCTACAACTCTGAATTTTACCACATAAGGAATTACTATTAGGATTTGGCAACATGACAACTTAAAAGCATTTCTTCTTAGTAGCAAAAAAAAAAAGAAAGAAAAGAAAAAAATTCAAAGAGAGGAAGGGAAACCAAACCCAATCTCCTAAGGCGATCAAATAACGGTTCTGCTGTTGAATTTCACTTTTAACAAAATATTAAATTGAATAAACTGTTTTTTTAACCTATGTGTCTTTTAGGTCACTGAAATGTAATTTTCAATAAGCAGAAATATATCAAAGTTAATAACTTTTATGTCAAAGAAAGAAAATCAGGATTTTTTTTCTGAGATAAACTTTTCCTTGCATTATCTGTTTTATCTACGTAAGTGCCTCTTTTTTCTACACAGAACAAACTAAAAGAAAATTAAACAATGGGTACCAGAAGAAGGAAGTATTCAATAATAATGATTTTTCTGATAAACAAATTGAGAAATTGGACATTAAATAATGAGAAACCTCATATTTACAATTTTCAATGAATTAACAAATAAACAACTGTTCAGTGTATCTGCTCTACACTAGGCTTTACCCTATCTATTCACAGGTGGAACACAAACTTGGTTTTTTTAGCTGATGCTTATTCACTCCCCTTTGAAACCGGTTTGAAGCTGTGGTCTCATTATGTCAGCATCACAGTGATTTATTCATCCTGTCATCAAAATGCTTTTGAAGACACGCACCCCAATTTCATAACACAAAGGGAAAGGGAAATACTCTTTTAAAAGTCTGAGTTGATAAGGTAGTTATTTAAAGGCAAAAATTTTAGATATTAAAATTAGAAAAGGAGAGATGAATTTTTTTTCACATACAAATTTAGCCAAGTGTGATATGGCTGTATGGTACCAATGAAGTAAACTTGAATTTAGATGAATTATCCCATGGATTTAAATAGTGTATTAGAGACACTCAGCTTTTACAAGTTAATTAGCAGCCATTTGACACTAAAATCAGAAATATATCCAACAACACTCAGTTTACTTACAGAACTTTAAGACTGTAAAGGCCAGTGAATGCTCCCTTGGGAATGTATGTCAGAGCGTTTCCCGCAAGACGTCTGTGGGTTTCAATGGAGAGGAGAGAGAGTGAGCATACCTCTTCATGTGGAAGTCATTTAGTTGTTAAAAAAATGCAATACAACTATGTTTAAACCACAAATATCAAAAGCAACTGTAAACAACTTTGTTTTGTTATATTTTGCAAAAAATATCTATAAATTTCTAATTAAAATGTTGGCAAAAGTGCCTAAAAAGAAATGTAATAAATTACCTACTTTACAATAAACAATTTAATAGCTTATACCATATGTACATATATATAAAACTGTCCTTTAAACAATTTTTAAGCAAATGCTAACACCATATGATAATTTGCAAAAAATTGTAATGTCAAAATGTGACTGTCACGAGTTTTACAACTATTCTTTGTAAGATAAAATAGATTAGATAAACATTAGAATATTTCTGTTGCAACTATACCTCAAAATACCCAACTTTCTTACTAAATTTGTCAAATAAGAATGTAGACTATCACAATCAATTTTTTCTAAACTCTACCAGAAAAGGATAGAGTACCTTAATTTAACATGATTTAATAGAGCAATGCTTAAAAAAATTGAAAACAAAGAGAGATTAGTATGAAGGACATTAACATGGGTTATTTAATGGAAAATTCTGACATTATTAACTGGTAAAATTTTAGAAGTTTACTTTATAATATTTTTCTAAGTAGAAGATAGCCAAGGTGAAAAATTGTGCAAAAGACCAACAAGATGTGGTACCTGAAACATGTGATTCAGTATTTTTTTGGCAGCCACATCAAAGCCATAACCTCATATACTAAAGGACAAAATGAAAAATGCAAAAACAACAATGTGACTCCAAAGAGCACAGTATTTTGAGGAGCTGATCATATCTGAGACTGGTGAGTAGAACTGGGACTCAATATACCTTTGCCCTTTTTTCTTTTTCTTTTTTTTCTTTTTTAGAGATGGTTTATTGCCAAGGCTGGCCTTGAACTCCTAGGCTCAAGCAATCCTCCTGCGTCACCCTCCTGAGTAGCTGGAACTACAGGGGTGTGCCATAGTACCCAGCCCCCTGCTGGGTACTATGATGGAGATGGGGATTTGGGGATAAGGATTTTGTTGGTCCAGTTGACTAGTGCTTATTTCTGAAGGACCTAAGAGCCTCAAATGTATACCTTTGATACTATCTTTAAAGGAGAGAGAATTCAGTCACAGAGATCCACTGACTGGACTGAAATAAGCCATTTCTTATATAACTTTAAATGTGTGTCCCATTGCCACTTCACACCACTGATAATATACTATAAATGAATATTTAAAGAAATGCTACGCTTATCAAATGAATAGAACTTCTGAGTAGTATTTGTGGTATGTGTATTTAAAGCATTATTTACTCAATGCAAATGAAATAAAATTAAAATACAACACACTTTAAAAAATTATGCTTAAAAAAATTAGCAACATAAGAAGGTCCTAGGACCTCTCCAAGAGGCTCTGCTTATCTTGGGTCTGCAGCACTAACTTGCTTTGTGCTGTTGAATTAGTTAATATTGCTGAGCTTTGCTTTCCCACTGATTACAAGAAATGTTAAGATAAAATGTCTTCTTGGGTCCCTTCCAGATCCAAAACTCCACGATTTCCCTACCTTGTCTTGTAGTCATTTGTGTTTGTGCCTGTTTTTCCTTCTCTTGACAGATATAATCTTTTAAAAGACTTGGATAGCTACTGTATTGTATTCCTCCTACCTATCTCGTGGTACCTAAAGAAGTGTTTTTTCAAGTGATAAATAATTTAGTGGCTGGTCTAAAATTAAGAAAAAAAAATAGAGTAGACAAACAGCAGAGTGAATTGGCTGAAGTATTGTTTTATAAAAACCTTTGTTTCCAAATATATTTGTGAAAATGGATTGGGGGAGGAAATTTGTTTCTTCCTATACATGGTCAGAAAGGTTTGAGAGCTGCTAGCCTAAGCATGGTGTTGGCACTTAATAAATATGTGTTATTAACATGTAATTCAGCATAATATTTGACCAGGGCAAAGGTATTTTATTTCTTTGTTTCCTATAAAACTGTCTTATCAGAAAACTCTCTTTAGACACTAACTCTGACCTTCCATCTTGTCTCCCCATATTCAGTCTCGACCTACTCCCACCCCTTCCATATTCACTGATGGTCTTTATAAAGACAACTCTGACCATATTACTGCCCTATTCGAAAACTCTCTGTCAGTTTTCATGCCAGGTAAATAGAAATGAAAAGTCCTCAGACTCTTTTCCGAGAATTCCCTGATCCCTAGTGGGTGCTAGAACTGAACCAGACTATGAGGTTTGCTTTTTTTAGACATGCCCTCCACATTCCCCCCTCTAGCCCTTTGTTCCACCTAAAATGCTCTCCTTTCACTCCCTGTTTTTCAAAGCAACCTCAGTGCTACCAAAGGACTTCAAAGTAGAGAGATTGACCATCAGTTTGGAAAGCATTTGGACAGCTCAGTTTCTGATGGTCAGTGTCTCTACTTTGAACTCCTTTGGTAGCACTTTGTGTCTTACTATGAATTTTATAGTCTACCTTGTGTTATAGTGTGTACTTGTCTTATGACACATGAAAGACTGGGAACTACTCAAACCTGGATATTCTCTTGGTATCCGTATAGGGCCTTGAATACTGTCTGAAAGTAGGTTGCCCCAGTAGTGCCTGACTAATCAGTTGAGTAGAGACTACTGACTGTCCCCCAGTATCCATTCTCCCCTTGTAGAATAATTTCCCGACCCAGAATTTTAGCAGATTACATGGCCACCCAGCTACAGTCCGATTTTCCAGTCTTCCTTGCATCTAAACCTGATTAAGTGACTAAACTCAACTGTGATCAAAAGTGATATGTGAAACACCTGTATCACCTCCTTAAAAAGACATTGCTTGTTCTTAATTTCTTCAATTTCCCCTTCCTGCAGAAGTGGTACTGGTGAGACAACATCAACAATTCTGGTTTGGAGAACCTTCCACAGAAGGCAAAACAAGAACAACAAAAAACCAGAAGGAACCCAGGCTGCTGGATGACCCTGTGGAACTGAGCTGTCCCAAAGCCCTGAAGTCTGTTTTGGATGAATAATCGAATCAGGATGGACCCCCGCGGTTTCCTCTGAAAGTCAAGGATTGAAGGATTATTTAGCTGTCTGGGCTGGTAAACCTCCACTGCAGGAGAGAAAGGTATGGTATCATACTTGCCTAGATATTGTCCCCAATGCACCATGTTTGCAAAGCTGTTTCAATGTACAATATTCTCTGTCTCTCTGCTTTATTTCCCTTTCGTCTTCCTATTGTTAGCTTGCAATTGGTGCACCTGAACTATCACAGACATCGCATGTTGCTGTTTTCCTAAAAGTCAGTGTAAGTTGGGAAGAAATGTTATTCTTTCAAGCTATCTTTTTTTCTGGTCTTGGCTATGCATATTTTTACTGTGGTAAAATATACGTGAAACAATATTTACTATTTTAAACATTTGTATGTGTAGATTCAGTAGCATTTTTAAAATTTTCCTCCCACACTAGCCTGCCTGTCTAGAGATTTTTCTTTTTTATTATACTTTAAGTTCTGGGGTACATGTGCACAATGTGCAGGTTTGTTACACAGGTATACATGTGCTGTGTTGGTTTGCTGCACTCATCAACTCGTTATTTACATTAGGTATTTCTCCTAATGCTATCCCTCCCCCCGTCCCCCATTCCCCGACAGGCCCCGGTGTGTGATGTTCCCCTCCCTGTGTCCATCTGTTCTCACTGTTCAACTCCCACTTATGAGTGAGAACATGCGTTGTTTGATTTTCTCTTCTTGTGTTACTTTGCTGAGAATGATGGTTTCCAGTTTCATCTATGTCCCTGCAAAGGACATAAACTCATCCTTTTTTATGGCTGCGTAGTATTCTGATTCAGTAGCATTATATGTATTCACAATGTAGTCTAACCATCACCACTATCTATACCCAAATTTTTGATTATCCCCAACAAAATCTCCATACCTGATTAGCAATATCCCTCCATTCCCCTTATTTCCAGCCCCTGGTAATTTCTATTCTACATCCTCTGTCTATGAACTTGCTTTTTCTAGGTATCTCATATTAGTGGAATCATATAATGTTTTCTTTTTGTATCTGACTTATTTCACTAAGCATAATATTTTCAGTGTCCAACCATGTTACACCATATATCAAAATTGCTTTCCTTTTTGTGATAGAATAATGTACCATTGTAGGTATATACTGCATTTTGTTTATCCCTTCATCTGTTAATTGAAAGTTGTGTTTTTCCATCTTTTGGCTCTTGTGAACAGTGATGCTATGAATATTAGTGTACAAATATCTGTTCAAGTCCCTGGATTCCATTCCTTTGGGTATATATCTAGTAGTGGAATTCTTGGGTCAAATGGTGGTTCTATGCATAACCATTGGAAAAATGATTACACTTTTATATATTCCCACTAATAATGCACCAGGGTTATAATTCCTCCACATCTGAAGCTATTTTTTTAATATCCCATGGTATTTATTGAGGGCCTGCTCTGTGCTGGTGCCACTTTATTATTATTATTATTTTTTATATTTATTTATTATTATTATTTTTTTGAAACAGGGTCTCACTCTGTCACCCAGGCTACAGTGTAGTGGCTCAAGCTTGGCTCACTGCAACCTTGCCTCCCAAGCTCAAGCAATCTTCCTGCCTCAGCCCCACAAGTAGCTGGGACTACAGGCACATGACACCATGCCTGGCTAATTTTTGTGGTTTTTTTTGTTTTTTGTTTTTTGTTTTTTTTGGTAGAGACAGGGTTTCACCATGTTGTCCAGGCTGGTCTCAAATTCCTGAACTCAAGCGATTCACCGCCTCAGCCTCCCAAAGTGTTAGGATTACAGGCATGAGCCACCGTGCCCGGCTTTGTGTTAGTACCACTTTAGGTGACAGTGATACAGCAGTGAATACCAGGATAAAGCCCCTGACCTCATGGAGCTGGTATTCTAATGTGACAAGATAGTCATTAAATAAAAACTCAAGTGAATAATATAACATGAAAAATGCTCTGAAAAAAGCAAAATCAAGGCAAAGGGATAGAGAGCAATGGGTGGTGGTTGTGGCGGTGACGTGCTATTATTTCAGATAAGATGGTCAGAAAAATCTCTGCTGAGTAGGCATTTCAGCAGATGCCTGCACCATGCAGGTATCGATATAAAGACAACAGTAGGACAAAATTCCTGAGGTAGAGAGTGCCTGGTGTGGTCCAGAAGCTGCAAGGAGGCGAGCATGGCTGGAGTGGAATAACAGGAGGAGGATGGCAGGAGGTAAGGTTGGAGAGGTGTCCAGGCCCATCCCATAAAGGTCTTTGGAAGGACTTCAGATCAGAGAGTAATGTGATCAGATCTGTGTTTTAGAAATGTCCTTCTGATGGGACCCTTTTGTTATATATTTATTTAACTTTTAAGTCCAGGGTACATATGCAGGTTTGTTATATAGGTAAACTTGTGTAATGGGGGTTTGTTGTACAGATTATTTCATCACCCAGGTATCAAGCCTAGTACCCATTAGTTATTTTTCCGGATCCTTTGCCTCCTCCCATCCTCTGATAGGCCCCAGTGTGTGTTGTTTTTCTCTATGTGTCCATGTGTTCTCATCATTTAGCTCCCACTTATAAGACTATGTGGTACCTGGTTTTCTGTTCCTGTGTTAGTTCACTGAGGATAATGGCCTCCATCCATGTTTCTGCAAAGGACATGATCTTGTTCTTTTTTATGGCTGAATAATATTCCATGGTGTGTATGTACCACATTTTCTTTATCCAGTCTACCTCTGATGGGGATTTAGGTTGATTTCATGTCTTTGGTATTGCGAATCGTGCTGCAATGAGCATATGCATTCATGTGTCTTTATAATAGAATGATTTATATTCCTTTGGGTATATACCCAGTAATGTATTGCTGGGTCGAATGGTAGTTCTGTTTTTAGGTCTTTGAGGAATAGCCACACTGTCTTCACAATGGTTGCGCTAATTTTCACTCCCACCAACTGTGTATAAGCATTCCTTTTTCTCCACGATCTTGCCAGCAACTGTTATGTTTTGACTTTTTAATTACAGGCATTCTGACTGGTGTGAGATGGTATCTCATTGTGGTTTTGATTTGCATTTCTCTAATGATCAGTAATGCTGAGCTTTTTTTTCATATACTTGTTGGCTGCATGTATGTCTTCTTTTGAAAAGTGTCTGTTTGCTCACTTTTTAATTTTTTGTTTTTTTCTTGTAAATTTGTTTAAGTTTCTTATAGATGCTGGATATTAGATCTTTGTTAGATGCATAGTTTGCCAAAATTTTCAATGGGACCCTTTTAAAGGGGAGAATAGACCAGGGGGTCAAGAGTGGAAGCGCAGGAGGGACTAAAGTCTCCAGATGGGAGATGGTGGGATAGTGTAGCAGTGGCAGAGGTGGCATGAAGTGGTGGGATTTGGTGTGGAAGAAAAGTCCAAGCTGATGAGCCACTAGGGTCGAGGTGGAATGTAGGCAGTCAAAGAGGAGCAACGTTTTATACTTATGGTTACATTATGTATAATCCACATGCATTTGATTAGTTATCCAAAATGCGATGTATAATGTATAATACTGAAGCAAATGAAATGGGCATGATGTGATACAAAAAAGTTGCTTTTTGAATTAAGACAGATTCAGGTTTGGTTGACCATGATAGACAGCTTAATTGATCAGACTCAACTGACTCATAACTGTTATTTTGGTCAAAATGTCCCTAACTATACTGGTCACAGTCAGGACTTCAACAGTGCATTTGTGAGCTCTAAAACATAGCCTTCAACTAGGTGTTTATCAGCTCTCACTGCTGTGACAGTATCATCAAGTAGCTGGATGGTTTTTGAAACAGTGACTTTGGAAATGAAGAGGAGAAAGTAAAAACTTTATTTTTTTAAATTAGTTTAAATTATTGTTAGGATGAATGCCTTTCTGTTACATTTCCTGAAACTCACTTCACACAAATTGGTTTTCTTTTTTGGGCAGGGACTTTCAGTCCCCTGAGTCTGTATTCAGAACTAACCTGTGGAACCACTGACCTGTGTTATCAGGGCAGTCTGTCTCAAAGCAAAGGAATTTATGATCTGCTATTGGCTGTTTGCTGGGCTAGTGGCAGATCTGTCTCATTGACAAAAACAACAATTTAAGGAAATCATTCCCCTTTTATTTCTTTACCATGTGGGGTGGCTTTAGTACTTTTGAAACCGAAATGCATACAAACATAGGAATAAAACAGGCTTTCAAATGTGTTCACAATACACAAATAGTAAGAAACACACACACCTTTGTTGTGATGATTTGAACTACAACAGTTTGCTAAACAACTATTTTCCAACCCTAGAGAGCAACATAACATTTGGTCAGAAGTTTTTTTTTTTTTTTAATGCTGTTTCTAAAATTATTATTTCATGGCAATGTCCCTTTCATTATCTTCACTTCTGTAACAAGATGTAACTCGATTAAAAAAAACTTGTCTTTCTACATAAAATATTTTAAAAAGTTTTTATCCCTTAAATAATTGCTCCAAATGTGACTCATATTGTCCCACCATTGTTAGTTTTACTGACTTAATTGCTATTAAAAGAAAAAACCCATTAAGTTACAAGAGAAAATAGACACATTCCTTTTTCGATAAATCAAACAGGTAGATGTTTTGGTGCTGTAAAAACCATCTACAGTATTTTGGAGAATGTACAATTTTCTTTGAATTGTTAAAGTAATTTGAATCTTTAAAGTAATATAAAAGATTTTATTTTATATTTTGTAGCTTCCTTTTTAAAATGGAGGTATGAGAGCAAAGCAATTGTATATAGGTCTAATTTTTCCTCTCTAAACATAGGGAGAGGTATGTGTACAAGATCTGGGGAGTACTGAGGATGGAAGCGGGCATTTGACCTTGCATTTGAGACCCTTGGGAAATTATTGTGCAGGAAACCATGGTCCGACAGGGGTCCACTTGGCTGAGTAGCATTTTCAGAGTTAAGCGAGGGGGCCTGGCTAGATCTACCAGACCTCCTGGGTCAGTTCTTGCACAAATTTCTTCTTGAGTTCTAATTTAGTTATTTTTTTCTTTCCCTTTTTGATTTTCTTTCTTCTCACCATTAACTTGCTGTGAGACAACACAAGTTACTTAACTTTCCTGGGCCTTATTTCCCTTAAATTAAAAAAAATGAAACGGTTCTTTCATGAAGGTCTTTTTCTACGCTCAAATTTAAAAAAAAATTACACTTGCATTTCCTACTGTTATTTTTTCCTCCCTCATTCTCCTTTTCCTCCCTTTTTCTTCTTGTTTATTGTAAGATTACTTTATTATAACATGTCATTAACATTGTAAAAAGCACTCTCTCATAATTTATATCATAGAGATAGGTCAGGGATTATTATTGTCCACATTTTGTAGATGAAGACACCAAAGCTCCAAAAGGTTTTATGGAAAGTGAAAAACATTGTTGCTTTCCTTATTTATTTAAATGTAGTCTAGTCTTCTTATGGAGCATGGAAGCCATGTAATAGCAGTGCTACTTAAATAATTGGAGTAGAATGAACTTGAACATGATAATTCTTGTGATTTAAAAGAAAACATTTCATCAGACTACTTAGTAAATTCATGCTGGCTCCTAGAAATTGCCGCTTTATTTTCTAACTTTTACAAAGCACACGAGAGTGAGAGGGCATACAGTCTATAAATGTTAAATTAATTTCTTCTAGAAATTTGATGAGGGCTATCAGGCTTAATGGTAATAGTTTTCCCTCTTTTTCCATTCTAAAAATCTGGATGATATTTGCCTATTTCCAGTTTTCTGGTACTGTTTTCCTTCTCTGTGATTTTCCAATATTGATTTCAGCAGTTCTGTGACTATTTCTGAATTTTCCCACTCTTTGGAGTTGTAATTTACCTGAACAATTAACTGCTGTTAAACTATCATTTAAATGTAAAATTTCTGAAAAGTCTTTTATTCTTTTATAAAGTATCAAAATATTCTCATTTGGAAAAATATTGTCCTAAATAAAGTTAGCCAAAACTATGATAATATAATTAGTGACTCTCAAAAGATACATAAGTGATGAAACCAGTATAATAGTCTATTAAAATTGATATTCATGATTCAATTCAATTAATTAATTTGCTTTTGTTGCTTTTAGGGCCAACTACATTTATAGGTTTGGCTTTGGTTTATCAATACAGGAGCCAAGTATCTGAGTCATATCAAGAATTAGAAATATGATGAAACTTATAGTAAGATGTAATTTGCCTCAACTTGCAGTAATGCATGACAGCAGCAATTGACTGAGCCCACCATGGTAGGTTTTCTTTTACAAGGTGCCCCTGCTGGTCAGATGGGACCAGATACGTAAGAGCTTAACCTTCTTGTGTTCATCTTTGGTAAGATTTGCAGAAGCCAATTTAGTGCCTTGGATATAAGAATCATGACATTTCATCAACTAATTTTCTCCCCATTTGAGAAAAAATATCTTTCCTAATACTCCTTGAAAAATTGCAATTTTCAAAAACTGTATCTACCCCCTTCCATTGTTCTAGCCAATGCCTCAAGTGATGCCGTCATTGTGTTAAGCATATCCAATTTGTCAAATCCAGCCAAAAAGCTTTCTTTCTTAAACTGTGTATTCATGAGCTGTGCATTTTGCTTTCATTATTTGATATAATAAAAACATTCAGATTTCAAGGTTCATGGGCTAAGAATTGTTAAGGACTAAGACCACTGGACTGAGTAAATGAACTCTTTCAAGTCAATAAGGAGATACTTTAATGTGCATAGGGCCCTGTGGTTTCTTTTTTTCTTTCTTTTTTTTTTTTTGAGAGGGAGTCTTGCTCTTTCGCCCAGGCTGGAGTGCAGTGGCGCGATCTGGGCTCACTGCAAGCTCCGCCTTCCGGGTTCAAGCCATTCTCCTGCCTCAGCCTCCTGAGTAGCTGGGACTACAGGCGCCCGCCACCACGCCCGGCTAATTTTTTATGTTTTTAGTAGATACGGGGTTTCACTGTGTTAGCCAGGATGGTCTCGATCTCCTGACCTCGTGATCCACCTGCCTCGGCCTCCCAAAGTGCTGGGATTACAGGCGTGAGCCACCGTGCCCTGCCCCTGTGGTTTCTTTAACCAGACTAAGGAAGTTCAATTTTAATTCCTTTATGGAATCTTCCTTAACCATCTCGGTTAACAGCTCTCCTATAAGATACATTCTATACAATGTAGCCTATAATGGTTGATTTTCTACCCTCTACCCTTTCTTTTAAAGGTGTTATTTTTGTTTGTTTGTTTGTTTTTGTTGTTGTTGTTGTTTTTTAAGATCCTGGGCTTAAGTGATCCATCCTCCCAACTCAGCCTCTCTGGTAGCTGGGACTACAGGTACGCACCACTCTGCCTAGCTCATTTGGTACCCTTTTATAAGTAGTCTGATTATAGACTCCTAAGCTCAAGAGTCTTATTGCATGCACAGAGTATGGAGCTCAACTGATATTTATTGATCGTTTGATCTTGTTTCCAAAGGCAGCTGGCCATACTGCCTCAGTTGCTTCAGATCTGGCATAACTATTCCAAGATAGCTAGTCACAAAACCAGACTAGAAACAGCTGAGGAATATTCCTTCTTTGTTACATATCAAACTTAAATTCAGCAATTTCTTAGAGCACTTTCAATATGCCACATATAGTGCTTTTGGACATATAAATAGTAGCTACCATTTATCAAACAGTCCATAAATGCTAGGGCACAATATTCAGTACTTTATGGGCATGATGCTATTTGTTTATAACAATCACATTAAACAATTGGCATCATCTCCATTTACAGATGGCAGAATGGGCCAAAGGGAGGTTATTTGCTCACACTATGTAGAAAAGTTCACAGAAGAAAGTTTGGTTCAAATATAGCATTTTGACCCCAAATTGGGGGTTTTTAATTATTACTCTGGTTAAAGGAAGGCTGGTCTTAAGCTTAGGTTGGTCAGGAGCAACCCTGACCTAAAACAGGAAAATGCAGGGACACAATGGCTGTATCACTTGAGGCATTGGCTATCAGAAAACCATTGCCCATTGCTTTTTATTTAAACTCCTCTCACTGCCTTTCAGATTCAGCACAATCTTACTACTCTTACCACTATGACTGGTCATCTCTTCTTCCTTTTGCTAGGCTCTCTTTTAGTCTTCATTGCTCAACCATAGATGTTCCTCAAGTTTCTGTCCTCACACCTTTTCTTTTTTTCTGCTCTGCTTAGTGGTACTCAAATTTTAGTGTGCATTGCCATCACTTTAGAAGCCATAAAAATTCAGATCCCCAAGGCCCCAATCCTGACCCAGGGAACCAGACATTCTGGGAGAAGGACTTGGAAATCTGCATTTTTAATAAGCAGCTCCAGTGATTTTATTGTAGATTGAAAAACTACACTGGGAAACACAGAGCCTCTCTCAAGTTTCTCTCTCAGGGTTCTCATCCACCCAGCACCTTCAACCATCACCTCTTTGTAAACCACTCTCCAATCATTATCTCTAGAACAGACCCATCATGCTTCACACTTACATTCCAACAACGTTACTGACATTCCCATTTAGATGTCCTGCTGCCTCCTTGCACTTAGTATATCCAGAACTGGGCATCCTCTTGCCTCCAAAATCAGTTCTTCCCTTGAATTCCCTGTTTTTGTCCTTCACCAGCTCCTGACACCCGATTTCATAACCCTATTCAGAGTCATCTCTCATCTTTAGACCTCCCCTTTAGTCCCTATGTTCAACCAACTGATGAGTCCCTGACTGCCTTTGTCTGTTGGGGTGCTTTCATATATTCCAGTGGTTCTCAGCCCACCTGTACAGCTTTGAAATAAAAGATGTCTGGGTTCCCAGTGAGACCCATTAAATCGGAATCTCTGGGGACAACCGCTGGTCATTAGTAGCTTTAAAAAGTGTGCTAGGCGATTCTAATGCATATTCAAGGATGGGATACTTTGAAGTAGTTCTCTCTGTTTAATATTTATAAGATCACCTGAAGACCTTCATGGTCTCCATCCCCAGAAACAATGATTAATTCATTAATTGTTGACAGAATTAGGACAGGTGATTTGTTAATGGATTTTAACAGGTACCCAGGCTAGGCGCGGTGGCTCACTCACGTAATCCCAGCGGTTTGGGAGGTCAAGGCAGGTGGATCCTTGAGATCAGGAGTTCGAGACCAGCCTGGCCAACATGGTGAAACCCCATCTCTACTAAAATGCAAAAATTAGCTGGGCATGATGGCGGGTGCCTGTAATCCCAGCTACCTGGGAGGCTGAGGCAAGAGAATTGCTTGAATCCAGGGGGTGGAAGTAGCAATGAGCTGACATCGTGCCACTGCACTGCAGCCTGGGCGACAGAGTGAGACTTTGTCTAAAAAACAAACAAACAAACAAAACAAACAAACCAAAAACGAGTTACCCAAATGAGACAATGAGAACCTGAACTAGGTGGTGACAAAATAGAGTGAACAAACAGGAAAGACAAGGTGGAATTATGAGCTTTAAGACTTGAAAACTGGCTGAATATAGGAGGTAAGAGAAGAAAATGACAGGGCAGGCACAAGTCTGGATAATAAGAATGCTGGTGGCAAGCAGGCAAGGTAGGAGAAAATGCTTGTGGGCGGCTGGGCAGGTGACACATGAATGAATCTGGTTCTGCACATGTTGAGTTTTGAAGTATTGATGGATAGTTGGTGGAGGTGTCACTTAAGTAGTTGGGGATTTTCAAAATGTGGTAGCTAAACGAGCAGTATTGACATCACCTGGAAGTGGTTTATAAAGCCACTTGACTTTCTCCTCCCAATCCCTGGCCTGCTGAAATTCTGTGATGGGGCCCAGAGATGCGTGGTTTTACAAGCACTACAGGTGATCCTGATGTCACTAGATTTCGAGAACCACTAGCCTAGAGTAGTGGTCCTCAAGCTTTACCATGCATCAGAATCACCTGGAGAGCTTGTTAAAGGCAGTTTTCTGAGTTTAACCCCCAGAGTTCCTGATTTACCAGGTTGGGGTGGGGGCACATGAATTGTATTTCTCAAAAGCCAACTCATAAAGAACAAGTTTAGATAAAGAATAAATAACAAGGTGGTGCCAGTGCACCACTGTCCAGGGACAATATATTGAGAACCATTGGTCTAGCAATCAAAGGCAAAAGAGATCTGGTCTGGAAACATAGATTTGGGGGTCATCTATATGAGTTTCTCGCCCAGACACCTATCGTAGCCTCCTACCAGGTCCTTCGGCTTCCATAATTCCCCAATCTATTTTGCATGCAGAAATCAGAGAAATCTTTTAGGTTTATAAATCCTGTTGGTTCACTAGCTGCACACAATCCTCCAATGGCTTCCCATTGCTCTTATTTGAATTCCATACATGGCTTAACTGGCCCTGCACGATCTGGTCTTTTCCTTCCTCTCCAGCTGCATCCACCTCACTTCCCTCTCTCTTACTCTGCTCCAGCCATACTGATTTTTTTTGCAGCTCCACAAACACATCACGTTCTTCCCACCTAAGGCCTCTGCTCACACTGTTCTCCTGCTTGAAATACTGTATCTCAGCTCCAGGCTCCCAGTCCCTCCTCCACCTTCTCATCAGTTTAGACATCACCTTCTTAGGCCTTCCCTCCTTCTCACTCCTTGTTATTTGTTCCTTATCTATACCATGTTTGTGTTATTCACTGCTCTTGTCACAATTAGCAAATATCATATGCAGTTGTGTCCTTGCTTATTATCTGTCTCCTCCACTCAATTGACAACTTCCTGAGGGCAGGGGCTTGCTGAATGAATGAATGGAACAAACACAGCAAGTCGTATTTGCTCTTATGTTCTTAGTGGCTTCATAAATATGTGAATGGAGGAAGTATAGAGAAAGGAGACAATAAAGTTAAGTGGAAATATATGAGGGATGTCTACATTTTATAGGTGGTGGGGGAGAATGGAATGCTAAGGAGAAAAAGGAGGCAGAGAGGTAGGGCACTTTCAAAACAGTGGCTTCATTGTCATAACAAAAGATATACACCACAAACATATATATATACACAATGACCGATATCTAAATGTCTATATCTAGCTGGATGGATAGTCATTTGGAAGACTACCCATACAAAATAACTGCCGTGAAATAACACTTGAGTTTCAAGGAGGCAGTGTTTATAATCAATGGGCAGATCTATGAAGACAGGAGACGATCACTGTGAGAAGGCCAAGGGGCCTGAAGATTATTCATGGGCATGAAGATGTTTTCATTTTATGAACACAACTCAATATGTGGATTATAGTTTACCAAAGTTCTTTGATCATTGTTTCATTTGATCCTCAGGAAGAAAAAAATCTCAAAAGACAGGCAGGACAGCTATACAGATGCTATTTTCAGTAACATGCTGGGGAAGTAGAAGTAACAAGCCTAGATTATGCTTTCAGGAAGTTTAGTGATCTCTCATTACAAATTTCATCTGTAATAATAGATATCTACTATTTATATAGAGATTCGTCATGTCCAACCATAATATGAGCAAACGGTTCCAGGGAACAATAGTAACTTAAAAACAGACCCCCCTAGAGCTTCTCATGTTTCTTTTCTAAATCGAGTATTTGATTCCAATAGCACTAGAATCTGGGAAGATTTTAAAATACTACTTGGAAATAAAGGCCTTTAACTTGGACAATTTTAAATGGTAACAATTCATTCCCCCCTCCTTATTTAGTCAGACTACCAAGCTAAGTTTAATGTAACTTGTAGACGCCAGTAATAGTCACCATCTGCCATTAGCTCCCAACATCTCTACTACACTCTGATGGCCCAAATGTAGGATCTTTTATTTGTCTACATAGCAAGCGTTAACGGAAGTTCCTAGAACTGAGTAAATAGAAGGAGGAGAGATACTGCTGGAGGGAAATGCAATGATTTCTCGGGTTATTAAAATAGTAAAGAACTATCTGCAATCGTTGCCTATATCCATTAAAGCTCAGAATTGGAAACAGTTTTTCAAGTCCAGGATCCCTGAGATTCCTGCAAAATCAGGCTCATGAAAAAAGAAAAGAGGGGGTTAAAATCTTTTTGAAGGTGTTTTCATTTTACTAATACAACTGTATATACAGAATATAGTTTACCAACGTTCTTTCATCATCCTTTCATTTGATTCTTGGAAACACCTTAAAAGGCAGACAGCACCATTCTCCTCTGAGGCCTAGTGAGCATTAAGTGGATTATCAGCTAGTAAGTGGCAGAGCCAGGATGGGAATCCTGGGCTTCTGAATCTAGATTCTGAGCTTTTCTTTCTATACAGCACAGCTTCCCTAATTTCGACCTGCTTTTCTTTCTTTTTGCAAAAGAAAAAGACTCCCCTTCTCTATGCACGGGCACATTGCCACCAGAAGGACAATTGGCCTCTGCATATCTGGTCACCTTGTAGAGTCACAAAAACAAAACAAAACAAAGCAAAACTAAACTAAACAAATAAAAAACAAGACTGAAATGTGTCAAAAACTTGCGGCATAGGTAGTAAGTGTTCTAGAATGTCAGGAAGGAGAGAGGAAGACAATTTTCTGTAATAGCTGTTCTTCTGAAATACTTTCTGTAACTCATCATTCAATCAAGAGTTACAATGCTTTTTTTTTTTTTTTTTTTTTTTTTGAGACTGAGTCTCACTCTATCACCAGGCTGGACTGCAGTGGCACCATCTTGGCTCGCTGCAATCTCTGTCTCCCAGGTTCAAGCGATTCTACTGCCTCAGCCTCCTGAGTAGCTGGAACTACAGGCGCGCGCCACAACACCCAGCTAATTTTTGTATTTTTAGTAGAGACGGGGTTTCACCATATTGGCCAGGATGGTCTCGATCTCTTGACCTCATGATCCACCCACCTTGGCCTCCCAAAGTGCTGGGATTACAGGTGTGAGCCCCTGTGCCCGGCTGAGTTACTTGCTTTTTTAAACATTAAGTCAGTGTATATCTCTAGCGCTTTATTGATTCTTACAGGATTTTGAACTTTGACACCTTTGTTAAGGCTTAGCCATGGATGAGAGATGAACCATGGCTATCTACACAGTTTATAACATAGTTAAAGGAATTAAATGAGAGAAATGATATATCCGGTAATTAGAGCTAAGGGGAAGAGTGATAATGTGGCTTTATTAATAGTGATTTTTTTTGTTTGTTTTTGAGACGGAGTCTCGCACTGTCACCAGACTGGAGTGCAATGGCCCAATCTCGACTCACTGCAACCTCTGCCTCCTGGGTTCAAGCGATTCCCTTGCCTCAGCCTCCCGAGTAGCTGGGACTACAGGTGCCCACCACTACTCCCAACAATTTTTTTTTTTTTTTTTGTATTTTAGTAGAGACAGGTTTCACCATGTTGGCCAGGATGGTCTCGATCTCCTGAACTCGTGATCTGCCCGCCTTGGCCTCCGAAAGTGCTGGGATTACAGGTGTGAACCATTTCACCCAGCTGATAGTGATTTTTAAAGACTGAGTTTTATGATGGGAGGTTTCTTAATATTATTGATAGTGTCAGTGGCAGTTTCCTATTTAACGTATAAAGAGATAAAGCACAAAAATGAGCTGAATAAGCTGAATGAAAGACTTAACACTTTCATAGTGTCCTAATTGTCATAACACACACACAAACACACACACCCAGAGAGAGAGAGAGAGAAAGAGAGAGTTAACATTTCTAGCTGTATGGGTGGTCGTTTATTAGTTCAAGTAAAATATATACTGCATAAACATGGTGCTTAAGTATATGTACTTACATGTAAAAAATATTATCGAAGACTATTTTGGACCTATTGAACAATGCTAGATTGGTGAAATTCTACACCTGAAAGTTCTGATGATACTTTTCTCATAGATAGTATATCATAGTCGTAGATTAATAACCTGAATATCCAATCTCTTCCTCCTGGGAAGACAGCTCTTCATTGCTTTCTTTCACATTCCCAGACACATGCACAGACACAGACACATATATACACACTGATCATTACACAACTCAGTTTATAGAGCATTTAAAAGTGTTCAACTATGCAAACTACTGTGAAATCACAGTGCTAGGTGCTATTGGAGAAAAAAAAAGCGCAAATAAACCATGCACAATTCCAACCGTCCCTCCACTTTCCAAGCATGGCTTTGAAAGTCATTTTGAATCTTAGCTTTGACCTAGGTTTGAATCTTGGCTCTGATACATACCAACTCCATTATGTTGGGTAAGTTCCTTATTTTCTCTGTATTTAAGTTTTCTTATCTGTTAACTGGGAATAATAATATCTATCTTTTTGGGGTTGTTATAATTCACTGAAATGATGTGTGTAAAGCACTTTCAACAGTGATTGGCACACAGTAACCTATTATTGTTGTTACTGCACTTATATTATTATTTTTGAAGATTGTATAGCCTAAAAGAGAATATAGACTTAAGCATATGTCTAACAGAAACAATCAACAGCATAAAAAAAATGTTCTGTTAAAGGGATATTTTTTAAACAAAAAAAATAGAACCTCCCCAAACCCCTAAATTTAGCTTTGGGAACAAAGGAATAAACCAAGAAGAGCTGATCATTTTTCCAGGTTTTATAAATACTAACTTCTTTTGCCGCTAAATGAATAATGATGTCTTTAAGACATCAGTTAGGTGCAGCACAGAATTATATATGGAAAAGCAGTCTTGATTTTAAATTCAGCAAGTCAGCCAGCTTAGCAGAAAGAATTCCAGAACAGAATGAGGCAATGGAATGAATAGTCTTTAAAGGGTCTCCTCTATTTCTGAAATTTTGTGATTCTATGGTCAAGATATTTGATGAAGTTTCCAGAGAGATAAAAATAAGACAAGGCAGAAAAGTATTAATAGTAGCATTTTCAAATGGTAGTTCTCTCCGCAAACACCATTGCTTTTTTTGTGATTTTTTTTCAACTATCTTTTTAAAAACTGGCCTTAGAACAGAATTAATATTCACCTCATGAAGAAAGAGGAGTTATTTTGAATGAGTTGGGTCACTGAGGGAGGAAATCTATTAAACAAAGTCCTTGGGGAAGTGAATTATTTATTGATTCAGCTTGTGGTCTAAAGTTGAGGTGTGTGTTGAGGGAGAAGGGAAGCATTTTGCCATGAGATATTATATGGGAATTAAAGGGAAAAGGATAGGAAGGGCATACCTTAGAAATATGGGGGTAAACAGGGCTGTCTATTCTATATTAATTGTGGAAGTATAGGGAGAACAAGATGGATGTAATTTTTTAAAATTCTGATGTTTGAAAATTATTTAAAATAACCTTTAAAAATGTTGACTAATGTCAATGAAAATCTGTTACTTTTTCTTAGGGAGTTGACATGTGTAAGAAACTCCTTTTACATATTTTGCTTTCTCATTAGTTTATTCATTAAAAATTTACAGATTATTTATTATGTACCAGCCATGACTAAGACAGACATTGTTCCAGCTCCTATGAAGGTTAAATCTTAGCAATGGAAATGTCCTGAGACAAAAGAGAAGATGGAAAAAAAAGGCCTGGGACCTAGAGTGAAAATCTATTCCATGAATGACAAAACCTTCTATACAATCTAGAAATCTAAGATTCCCTACCATAACCCTTGATACCAATTTTATCACATGCAACTGATTTTGGTAGTAAAACAATAGCATTTCATAAAATATAATGCCATCAAAAATAAATATAGATAAAACTCCAGAGGGGAGAAATTTCAAAATGTTATCCTCTTATTCTCTTGAGAAAATGGTCAACGTAGTGTAATTTGGTTATGATGAAACATTCTTTCCACCTCCCATGGTGGATTCTGTGGTGCATTAACAATTTAAATTACTCCCCAAATTGGACTCTGACTTCAGGATTTATAAAGAAAATATTTTCAAAAGAGGTCATTACCTAAACAATTCCTTTAATCAACAGTCAGAGGATTGACTCAACTGATGGTGCCAAACGTTCTACACTAGGGCTGTGATGGGGTATCACCTCCTTATCCCCATCATTCAAAAGCGTAAGAGGATCAAATGAATTTTTAAATGCAGATTTTTGATTTATACAGTTCTTTTTCATCTTCTGAAAAGTGGTTACTAGACTTAATCAAAATTCCTCTGTGTATCATTAACTAATTTTAGCTTCCTCCTTTTTTAGTTTTTATTTTTAGTGTTTGGAAGAGCCCAGTTTTAAATCTTCTGTGGATTTCACATTTTTCTACTGAAGCCTTGAGGGAAGCTAAATTTAAAAGTAGGGAAATAGTAATTAAAAGTGATTAGGACAAGAAGTTTTGGTGCTATGCAATGTGGACTCAATTCTCCCTGTCATAAGCCGAACCAAGCAGCAGTTTTTGGTTTTGATTATAGCTTTACTTGCGATTTTAATAAACATGAACCAGTATTCAAACTTTTAATATCCTGCTGCTTAACTATTTCCAAAGAGCTATCCAGCTCTTTTAAACAGGCTTTGTTTTAAAATTTTAATTTGTTTGGCTCAGTCTCACCTTAGAAAGTTGTAGCCTTATGGTAAACTCTTTTATAAGTTGATTTCCAGAATCATAAGCAATTCTATTTTTGCCCCCTCCCAACTAAGTGTTTCCTCATGTTCTGAAATTGTTGGTGCTGACAGGTTTTCTGCCTTGTTTTATCTGGTTCCCACAGTAAGTATGAGAGACAAACACAAGAATGTGCCCAGTGTTGACTGGATGCATCAAGACTACAGTGATACTTACAACTCCTCCAGGAAGCGGAGACTGGGCAGGGGATTCGGGAGCAGCTGACTGATGTTGTTCATACTGAGGTCTCTGGGGGGGAAAACAGACAGCGTGTGAGGAGCAGCAAATGCCACCACAAGGAAATCCAGCTGTTCAATTCACACATTTCCAAACAATACAGTAAAATGAACTCATTCCCCTGCTTGACAAATGAATTGCTATTCTACATCTTAAATATTAATTCCTTTTCTCCAACATTCCCCACAACATCATGGGCTCTCTATCAAATTAGAGACCCTAGGAGGAACTTACATGGAATTCAAAATGATTTAGACCATTCATGGGCATGGTTGTAATTCTTTATGCTTAAATTTATGTGAGTAGGACAGCAAAGGAAACAGACATAACTCAACTCTAGACATAACTCAACTTTGTGTCTTGCTTTAAATTGTGTGACAAAGAGAAATGTCTTCACTGTGCAACTCTAGAAGTCCTGTTTCTCTGGGACTTTAAGCACCTTGTAAAAACAAATGTTTTGATTCAAAGAAATTTAAAACAACAACAACAACAAAACAAGACAAAAAGCCTATTCCCTCCTTCTAACATGTTCCTTTTGCAGGTTCTCAGATTGCATTAAATAAGTGAAATGAACCATAAAACGAGGGTGTAAGGTGATCCTGCTCTGTAGCACACTTCCTGCTGGGCCTGCACAGTAGTTCCTGGCACAGGAAACAACAAGCCACTTTAAGCAGAACTCAATCAATTTTTGTTTTAAACGAAACTCTGTGTAATTACATTTTATTCTGTTTTTTTCCCCCCTATTTCTTTACTGTCTCTTACATAACCCCACAGCATCATGGGTATATGCCCTCTGTATCTCAGAGGCCAAAAGACTGACAGCTGGACAGATTCTAATCAAGACCAATTCAGATTTTATGTAGTCAGCTGAAGGTCACTTAAGAAATGACTTGTTGCACGAACCTGAAGATTCAGAACTTATGGCATTGTATTCTCAGACCAGGCCTCCATTAAAATTTATCTTGAGAAAAGATAATGAAGTTCTTTTCAACCTGAATTATTGCTTTTATTAAAGTGGACACATCCATTGCACCTAACCAGCTGATTTCATTCACAATATAACTTGGTTCTTTTATCAAATATTGACTTTACATCAATGACGCTAAGAATTGAGGAATCATTCACTCTTTGCCTTTAAAAAATCACAATAATGTGCAAAGAAGAGAAAATATTTTATTAATTGTTTCAGAGTATGGCACCACCCCCAAATTGCTATTAATTTTATTATCTGTTAGTGAACAGTAAATAATGAAGCCAAGTAAATGCTGTGTTCTTAAGCTAAGACTAGACAATGCCATAAATATAGACTAAAATTTTTTTGCATTGTCCATATTCCAAAAATCTGGATTTTTCTGGCGTTGTCTAGATAAAAAAGTCAAGTAATTGATAAACAATTTCATTTTTTTTGGCAAACATTCCTGTGAAATAGCACAGTCATTAAGTTCACTGAACAGCCATGTTTTAAACTGATCAATGCAGTTTCTGGATTCCTCACAGTGATTATAGAATCTCTGCAAAGACTTGATATTTCTCAGGAATATTCACTTTTTAAAATTTGATATCCTACTTATTTCCTAAAAGGATCAAGGTGGTTTGATTTTGGGGCATGTCTATTGGTAACACAGATCAAACCAGTCTCGACATCAAGACATATGGTGTGGAGAGCATAGATTTTCTCTCATATTTTTCTGTGTGATGTGCAAATCACTTCAGAACAAACATTGATCTTGTTTATCTGCAGAAAGTTCTAAATAGAACATAGTCATTTACATATTAAGGTGATTCATAAGCACTCCACATTATTTTTAATATTTGTTACCCTATTTCAAGCACCTGGAAGTGAGGCTTATGCAAGCATTCACTCTCTGGTTCCCACCTGAACACTTTTTATGGTGGAGGAGACTAGGGCAGCAGAGAAAGCACAGGCAAGCCTGAGAAGAGCATCTTGGGTGGGAACCTAGACTTTCCTATTTATTAGCTGCATAATCGTGGGAAAACTAACCTCATTATGCAGCCTTCCTTATTTTTAAACAAGGGTGTCTCTATGTTAATAGCTTGAGACCCTATGATTAGCCATTTCCAATCAAAAGGGAGTGACTTAATTCTTTTCTTAAAAAGGAAAGTACCTGGCTGGGCATGGTGGCTCACGCCTGTAATCCCAGCACTTTGGGAGGCTGAGGCAGGTGGGTCACCCGAGGTCAGGAGTTTGAGACCAGCCTGGCTAACATGGTGAGACCCCATCTCTACTAAAAATACAAAAATTAGCCGGGCATGGTGGTGGGCACCTGTAATCCTAGCTACTTGGGAGGCTGAGGCAAGAGAATCGTTTGAACCCAGGAGGCAGAGGTTGCAGTGAGCTGAGGTTGTACCATTGCACTCCAGCCTGGGCAGCAAGAGCGAAACTCTGTCTCAAAAAAAAAAAAAAAAAAAAAGGAAAGTACCTATCTTTTCCAACAGGAATTAATAACTTTACTGTGCTACCTGACATATCATATTGTAATTCCTCTTAGATAATGACCTAGTACTAGAAAACCAACCCCTTACCACCTGTTTTCTAATACAGGCTGTTTTCTTTTAAAAAGCCTCTAGCAGTTCATATAAACTTGTAGCAGAAAATAACTTTTAATAGCAATGATCTAAGACCAAATGAAATGGGCCTCTAAAATAAAATTCAAAATGGACAAGGTAAAAATTAATTTGCCTGCATTTGCTTTTTTCCCTTCTGTGTGCACTTTTACATTGATGTTAAAATGTAATTATGGTTCTCCAGCTCAGTGTATTCCAAACTATCCACGGTGAAAGACGAAATTTTTTAAATTTCTAATTTGCTGTGGACTTACACTATTATAAACTATAATAAAAATTGATTACTAAAAAGGTGAAATAAAAATACAAAGATATACAAAATACAAGGCTCAATATTTTATTATGTGATTTAACAGAAATAGTTAAATGACTACAAAAGTTTCCAGACTTTACTCTGAAATTCTTATCCTTTGTGGATCAATAAAAACAGCTGTGGCCTGGGGTGGGTCCTTGACTTCTCTTTGGTGAGCGATGCTCCTCTTGCCTTCATATCAAGAATGGTGAGGCTTAAATTACTTTTAGCCTGCTCATCTTTGACTTACCAATGATAGAATTAGAGAATGTTTGGCTGTTAGAGAGGACTGAAACTCACCAGGGTGAGAATGCTCATTATAGGTGAGGAAAATGAGGCTCAGTGAGGTGAGGTGGCCTCTAAGTTTCAGTGCAATATTTAGGGGGAAAGGCCAGGCCTAGAACCGAGGTCTAGGCCCTAGGGTTTTTTGTTTTGTTTTGCTTTCTTTATTTTTGTGTACCACCTTTCTAATTTATGCAAAATATCTTCATTCTGACCCTTAAATTATTTTTAAACCATTCCTTTTATTTTTCTATAGCATTTGGTCTTTTTGACACCTGGTACACACATAACCTTAGCAGCAAATGAGGGGGTCTTAAAATAATTTCCAAGCCTGTGCATTATTTACTCTTTAAGTAATGATTTTAAAATGCTCTGTTTTTTTAAAACATATCTTGCCCATAATTCAGTTTCCTAAAAATCAATGAAGCCACATAATGAATTTCTTGATGTTTTGTCAAGATGTAGAAATTAATTTTGAAGAACTGGTCACTATGTAAAAGGATTTTGTAAGAAATGGATGATTGATTTCCGTTGTGACAAGATGGTCAAATAAGTTAAACCATTCTGCCCTGTCTCTGATCCACCTCTTATCTATGCTATATTACTGATCACGTCTAGAAATCTAGAATAGAGATTGCAAATTCCATGAGAGCAGTTGTTATATATAGGAACCAACCCAGGAGCTTTAAAAAATGTTGATGTCTGGACTGGCACAGTGGCTCACATCTGTAATCCCAGCACTTTGGGAGGCTGAGGTGGGAGGATTTCTTAAGGCCAAGAGTTTGAGACCAGCCTGGGCAACACAGGGAGACCTCATCTCTACAAAAAAATAAAAAATAAAAATAAATAAATAAATAAAAATTAGCTAGATGTGGTGGTGTGTGCCTGTAGTCCCAGCTACTTAGGAGGCTGAGATGGGAGGATCACCTGAGCCTGGGAGGTTGAGGCTGCAGTGAGCCATGGTCACACCACTGTACTTCAGTCTGGGTGACAGAGTGAGCCTCTGTCTTAAAAAATGTTGATGTCTAAGTTTCATCCCCAGGATTTTGGAGTTAACTGATCCAGTGTGGGCACTGGAGTTTTTAAAAGCTTTTCAGGTGACTCGAATGTTCAGCCAGGGCTGAAAACAACTGTCTGGAGTAACTCTAAATTTCTAGGCCAGTTATCTGACCTCTACAACTCGAAACTGAGGAAGCTTAAGATAATTAAAGGTACTGTTTCTTATGGGTTCCTATGGGTTCCATCCCAGCAGACAGTATCTTTCCCTTAAAAATGTTTTTGTTACTTGAAGCTCTATTTTTTTTTTCATTTTACAGATGTTAACTGAGCATTAATGTGGTCAGGTTTTATTCTAGGAACACAGTGGAGAATATATCTGAGTCATCTTTAACTTTTCCCTTTCCCACCATCCCTATGTCCATAAGCCCCCTGGTGTTAATTGTACTACAGAGTTCGCTTCCGGATCTGGCCCCTTTTCTTTCTTCTTGGCTGCCTTTGGTTAAGCCCTTGTACTGCTGAAAACTGTTCTGCTCTCCATGTTTACTGTGTCTCCTCATTCTGGGTCATCTTCTACACCACGGCCAGAAAAGTCGCCCTGAGAAGTCTGTCTGGTCATCACTCTACACAGAGCCACTGCTACCCAAAAAGGAATGCAGCCCCTCAGGTAGATGAATTAAAAGAGGGCTCCCTCTCTTGAGGGGCTGAAGAATTAAAGAAAATACCCTCTTCCTCCTGGGGTAACAGCTACAGAGCAAGCAGGATGAATGGCTTGGCAAGCAGAGCTCGATCTAGAGTTTAGACCCCATGAAGGAGACTCTGTGCAGGATACAACCTGTCCAACGGTAGCCATACAGGACAGCACTATCTGAGAACTTCCGTTGGCTCCTGCCTCTGGGAGGAAATGATGCCCAAACTCCTTAGGCTCTTCACAATCTGGTTTAATGTGGGTTTCTATCTTGATCTCATGCCACTTTCCTCCATGCAATGTGTGATCTAGTTACATGGAAATTCTTACCGTTTCCCTTTGCATGTGTCTTTACATGTGTGGTTCTCTTCCCTGGAATGCATTATCCTCTCCATTTCCAAATTACCACTCCCCCATATCTCTTCCAAGGCCATTCAAGATCTAGTTCAACAGACCCTTGCCATTATGACACAACCTCTTATCTTTCCATCTTCATTGTTCTCTATTTCAACCTCCAGTCCTTTGATATATCCTGTATCAAAGCTCATCTTAGCCCCAAAACCTAGGCTGTTGCTCTCCTGGATCACCATGTCACCAATACTCTCAACTCCCTAGCCCCTGTCTTTTGTTTTACTTTCCTGGAAAAACCTCAGCTCTGGAAAAACACCATGATTCCTTTATCTTCTCTGTTATTATCCCAGGATACTGAGTGCTACCAGAAAATAAAAAAAACCTCATAAATGTGCAGATCGGTGACTATAAATTCACGGTCTTCGTGTGTTTGTAACACCAGTGCCCAATTCTGTGCTTTGCTGTTGCTCAACTTACTCCCATGGGAACTGCTGCGAGCCTTTACCACTTGCCTTGAACCTCTTCATCAATGACCACTCCCATCATGCCCATGGGGCACCTGTCCTCTTACTGCATGGAAATAACTGGGATTCTTCGGACCACCAAGGATGTTCTCCTTTGTCCCCTGCTTACCATACCCATACCTTCCTCCTTATTAGCCTTCCTTATGGATCCCTTCCCCTTTAGCATAATACAGCACATTACTGTGTGTTATAAACTGAAGGTTTGTGTTCCCCCAAATTCATATGCTAAACCCTGAATCCCTAAAGTGGTGATATTTGGAGATGGTGCCTTTGGGAGGTAATTAGGTCATGAAAGAGGAGCCCCCATGATGAGATTAGTGTCCTTACAAAAAGAGACATGAGAGGGCTCCACTGTCTGCCACTTAAGGATACAATGTGTGTAAAACAAAAATGCTAACCACTACACTATGGAACCATGTTAAGGATACAATGTGAAGTTGGTCAACTGAAAACTGAGGGAGCTGACCCCCAGAGGACACTGGATCTGCTGGTACCTTGATCTTGGACTTCCCAGCCTCTAGAACTGTGAGATATATGTTTTTGTTGTTTAAGACACCCAGTTTATGCTAATTTGTTGTAGCAGCCTGGACAAATGGCTATACTGCCTCTAAGAGCATGAGGTATAGAACTCTTCTGAAATAAAATACTCTTGGGAGCAAACTCTCTTTGTGTTTTGCTCACCTTTCACAGTGATTGTTTTTGCTTGTAATTAAATTTTCCTTTTCAGTCGATCCTATTTGTTTTCTTTCCTAGGGATTCCTCAAAGATTCTCATTCATTGAAAGGTGCCCTTCTACCCCCATGCCTAAGTGCCACTAACTGCTGCTTCTCCTCCTCTTTTTCCTTCTGCTCCCCCCTTCTTTTCTCCTTCTTTTCTCTTTCTTCTTATTCTTCTTCTGAAGTATGTTTCCTATCATTTCTATGGATTTGTTGTGAGGGAGATGACTAAAGTAGGTACTTTGTTCATCATCTTAAAATTCAGCCATAGTTGAGATTTGGTATTTGAATCAGTGAACAAGGAAGTCCTTTTTACAGTGTTACTATTTTAAAAAATTAAGGAAACAAAAAAAATTGATGCTCTTTCTTTAATCTCTGCCACAGTCGAAGACAAATATTTACATCTTTAGCAGCACAGTGCAATTCCTATTTCTTCTAAGTATAATCATTTTAAATTTGTCTTTGGAGATCCAGTAGCATTTAGCTCTCTGCCAGATACCTTTGACAACAATGGATCTTGGCTGGAGCCATTCCAGCACTTTTTAATCGATCACTTTTCACATATACTTCTAGAGATAATATACTTCTTGTGAATCTCAAAAGGCAAGGTGCAGGCTTGAGTAGCATTTTATTATAGTATGAATAGTATTATTTCCAGGTACTTTAAAAATGTTATCATTTTTAACTCCAAAACACTGTATCCTTAAGAATTTTTTTTATTGAAGTATAACATATACAGGAAAATGCATAAATTCTGTGTCCGGCCGGATAAATTTTCCTTCCTCCCTCCCTCCATCCCTCCCTTCCTTCCTTCTTTCCTTCCTTCCTTCCTTTCTTCCTTCCTTCCTCTTTCTCTCTTTCTTTCTTTTCTTCTTTCAACTAAGGTTTCACTCTGTCACCCAGGCTGGAGTGCACTGGCATGATCATGGCTTACTGCAGCCACAACCTCCAAGTCCCAAGTTATCTCCCCACCTCAGCCTGCCGGATAGCTGGAACCACAGGTTTGCACTACCATACTTGGCTAATTAATTTTTTTTTTCGTAGAGATGAGGTCTCACTATGTTGCCCAGGCTGGTCTTGAACTCCTTGGCTCAGTTGATTCTCCCACCTTGGCCTCCCAAAGTGCTGGGATTACAGGCATGCCACTGCGCCTGGCCCCTGATGAATTTTCACAATATGAACACACCTCATTAACTAGCACAAATCAAGAAATAGAATATTGACATCACCTCAGAACCCCCTCATGTTCCCTTCCATTCATTGCTCCCCACCAAAAGTAACCATTCTCCTGACATCTAACGTTTCATATTAGTTTTGCTTCTTTTTAATCTTTCTGTAAATGAAATCATTTATAGACATTTTTGTGTCTAGCTTCTTCACTCATTATATTTGTTAGATTTATCCTTATGTTGTGCATAGCAATAGTTTGTTCCTTCTTAATGCAACATAGTGTTTCATTTTATCATTACACCACAATTTATGTACCCACTCAACTGTTGATGGAGATTTGGATTGTTTTTAGTTTGTGACTATTATGAACAGTACTGCTATAAGTATTCTTAAACACATTTATTGAACATTCATATGTGTACATATTTGTTAGGTACATATCTGGGAGTAGAATTGCTGACTATTGGTGTATGCATATGTCTGCTTTAATAGATACTGCCAAATAGTTTTCTAAAGTGGTTATATCAATTTATACTCCCACAAGTAGCCTATAAGAATACCAATTATTTCATATCCAGTAGTTTCCATTTGTTGTCACCAAAATTGTTATCATTTCTCTCTCTCTCTCTTTTTTTTTTTTTTTTTTTTTTGTTGAGATGGAGTCTTCCTCTGTTGCCCAGACTGGAGTGCAGTGTGATCTCAGCTCACTGCAACCTCCACCTCCTGGGTTCAAGTGATTCTTCTGCCTCAGCCTCCCGAGTATCTGGTACTACAGGCATGTGCCACCACGTCCAGCTAATTTTTTGTATTTTTGGTAGAGACAGAGTTTCACCATGTTAGGCAGGATGGTCTTGATCTCCTGACCTGGTGATCTGCCTGCCTTGGCCTCCCAAAGTGCTGGGATTACAGGCGTGAGCCACCTTGCCTGGCTTTTTTCTCTTTTTTATTTTAGTCATTTTGGCATGTACAGTGATGTCACATCGTGGTTATAATTTGCATTTTCCTCATGTCTCATAGAGCTGAGCATCTTTTCACGTGACTTTGACCATCAGGATACCCTTTTTTTGCAAAGTGCCAGCAGAACATTTTATCTTATTTGATGACCTTTGAATTAGAAGTAAAACATACTTGCTGTAACAAGTGAAACTATACACTGATAAGTAAGGAAAGGGCTAATAATCTTTCTTTTTCTAATATTACTCTCATTTTCTAATATTACTTCTCCTGGGGTTTCAAAGGAATTCTTTTGAAAGAGTTAATAGTCTAATAGTTAAAAGTGTGTATTCTGTAGATATTTTGTCTTAGTTTGAGTCCTGGCCTTGATATTTCAGAGTTGAGTAACCTTGAGGAAGTTATTTAACATCTTTGTACCTCAGTTCCCTCATCTGCATCATCTGTGAAATAGAGATAATAGTAACTACTTCATAAAATTGTTATGAGAAATGTTAAAGTAAAATTAAAATGGAGACCAGGCCTGAAAAATTTCTGAGCAAGCAAAACCAGCTAGGGCTTAAAAGTAGCTTTCATCTAGCTTAAATTGCAAATATAGGTGGAACCTGACTGGGGTCACACTGCAGATATAAGCTAAACTTAACTTGGGACGTTTCTGGTAAATGTTTATGTTGAACAGAAATTAAACTTAACTCTAGTCAATCATAAGCAGCCAACTAAGATATAATTATGTGACTAAGAACTTCCCAAAAAAGTACCCCCAAAAGGATAATTATGTAACTGTAAGTCAATCTGATTTCTTTGTTTTACTTTTGCATCTTCCCATAAATGCTTGCCTCTGATGTTCTGCACTGGAATGCGAAATCTCTGTTGGTCTGGTGTTCCCCAACTCATGAATTACTTCTTACTCAAATAAACTCTAAAATTTTGCTGTGCTTTAGATTTTCTTTAAGTTTGGTGTCAGAAGTGGGATTCAAAGGAGACCCCCCCCGACTACGCCCCAAATCCTTGGGCCATGCCACCGGGTGTATCAAGGAACCAGGCAAAAGGTACCTGCTGAGTCCATGGAGCTCACTGCTTTCTCACTGCATCTGGAGGTCCTGGTTAAGTCCCTCTCAGATTTCAAGCTCCACAATTTGTGTCCTGAGCTCTCCAAGTTTATCTGAATCATTTTATTCCCTGTTGTAACCAGAGATCAAATTTGAGTGCTTGACATAAACTAGACTAGGTCCAGTCTAGTGCACTAGTTTCCAGAATAGATCTGGAATCCAGATTGGGATCTCGAGGTTAAACTGGGTATTCAATAGGAACTAGACTGAGTTTGTAGTTGGAAGCCTCAGGTAGATAGAATTTTAAAAAGACAGGATATTATGGGTTTGTCAATATCTAAGGAGCCTGGGACTCCTCTGCTGGGAACACCAGCAAATTTTTTATTTAGAAATTATAGACCACAAACTTGTGCCATTCTAGAAAAATGGGTGTGCCTACAAGAAATAATTTGAAGTTGCAGTGGCCACAACGGGGAAGTTTTAATCTAGATAAAATTGTTTATTTATGGGGCATAATGGAAAAGAATGGATCTTAAATACCTCAGAAACAATGGCATGCATTTTTTGATTGGCATACAGAGGCTTACAAAGAACTAGCTGATCCAAAATTGCCTCTCTAAAAGACTCTTTACTCAAGCCAGGCGCAGTGGTTCAGTGGTTCATGCTTGTAATCTCAACACTTTGGGAGGTCTCAGTGGGAGGATTGCTTTAGCCTAGGAGTTCAAGACAAGCCTGGGCAACATAGTGAGACCTAGTCTCTACAAAAAAAAATCAAGGCCGGGCGCAGTGGCTCACGCCTGTAATCCCAGCACTTTGGGAGGCCGAGGCGGGCAGATCACGAGGTCAGGAGATCAAGACCATCCTGGCTAACACGGTGAAACCCTGTCTCTACTAAAAAAAGTATAAAAAATTAGCCGGGCATGGTGGCAGGTGCCTGTAGTCCCAGCTACTCAGGAGGCTGAGGCAGGAGAATGGCGTGAACCCGGGAGGCAGAGCTTGCAGTGAGCCGAGATCACGCCACTACACTCCAGCCTGGGGGACAGAGCGAGACTCCATCTCAAAAAAAAAAAAAAAAAATCAAAAAATTAGCTGGGCATGGTGGCCCATGCCTGTGGTCCCAGCCACTTGATAGGCCGAGATGGGAGGATCACCTGAGCCTAGAAGGTCACCGCTTCAGTGAGCTGTGATGGCACCACTGCACTCCAGCTTAGGCGACAGAGCATGACCCTGTCTCGAAAAAAAAAAAAAAAGCTTATTTACTAAAATCAAATAAGACAACTGAAAAGCTTAAGCAATAAATTGAGGGCAACAGTAAGGAAATTATGTGGTAACTGATGTGACTTTGTTTCCTGCCTTTATTCTCCTCTACCTAATTATTCTAAATCCACAAACTCATTTGTGAAACCATCTCTTTCTCCTAAGCCTACTAATCCTTTTGCTCAATTACATTTTTATCTGGAGCATAAAGAGAGGAAGGAAGTTAAGTAAATGCCTCATAAAGTTAGGCCCTCAGAATACCCAGGTTTGGCTCCTATAAATAATTTTATTCCTTGGTCAAAAACTGAACTCAGAGCCATAGCAAAATATTTTCCAAATTGCAAAGAAAATACACAAAAATTTTCTGAGGAATTGAGAATCCTCATAGGAGTCTATGACCCTGTGTTTCCTGATTTATATCAGTTTATACACATAATATTAAGACCCAGAGACGTACACAAATGGATAAAAAGAGCAGGATGGGATAAGCCTGAGGAAAGGACTGCTGACTCTTCAATAGTTACTTCTAGGGATGGTAAAAAAGATGCCAGAAAAATAGCCGAAAAACTGCTGGAAACGATCCCTATTGTCTTCCCACAAAAGATTGGTCCGTTATTCAACTATGTATACAAATAAAAAGAAATAAATTAGTTTCTGATTACAAGGCTAGATTTGTTAAACATTCTGGTCTTAAAATACAGCAGGGAAAATTTTCTGCTGAAACTGAAATAGCTCTTACAGACTTATTCATTCATGGGCTCTGACCAAAGCTTGGTGACCTGATTAAAAAATGAAAGATTGGATGGGAAGTTACTGATACAGCTGAATTAGTCATCATGGTTGAACATTTTTAGAGAACTTTAGAACAAGAAAAAGGTGAAACGCTAAAAGAAAAAATATCAAAGGCTTCTATGTTTACAGCTGCAACAGCTACAGGGACAAAGTCCAAGAGGGCCTCTTCATGCATATCATAACTCAAAATCAAGAGGTCCTGAACAAAGAAACCTGTACCTTAAGATGTCTGCCATCATTAGAAACAGTCAGGCCATTGGAAAAAAGATTGTCCACTCTAGTATCAGTCCCTAACTTCCTCTGTTAGAGAAAATTCCCATCGGTTTGACTCTCAAGACAATAATTAACATGAATGGGGTTCTGAGGGATTCTCTGGTAAGTTACTTCCTATAATACCCTTATGTTTATAAGGAAACTCAGATCAAGATCAATGGGGAGTCATGTATACACAGTGTTGGTGGATACTGGAACCACCTTATCCACTTTAAACCCCACCCTAATAAACCAACACATCTCTTGGAGTGAAAAAATATTTCTGTGGTGGGGGTTTCAAATCAAATTCAGAGAATTCCTATGTCTAAACCAGTTGAAATGCTGAACTAGTTTCAGAGAAGCATGCCTTCTTACTATGTGACACCACTCCAGTAAAGATACTGGAATGAGATTTGCTTTCTAACCTAAGAAGACACATAAAACTCTCTTCAGAAGGAAAAGTAACCCTAGAGGTCTCTGATCCTCCTGAACCTAAACTGCTTTGTTCTTACGAGTGGGAGTTGATAACGTTGAAAGCCAAACTTATACCAACCCCAACCTTTCTGGAGTACCCCAATATCTGTGGGCTTCCTCCTCAACTGACAGAAAAAATGATAAGTCCTGAACCTATAAATATCCAACTAGACCATTCTAAGCCATTGCCTAAATTTCCCCATTTACCCCTAAAGTTAGAGGCAATCCAAGGACTTTCACCAATTGTAGAGGAGTTAATAAAACAAATATTTGTAATTACTTGTACTAGTCACTATAATACTCCAATTCTATTAGCTAAAAGAGCTAATGGATGAGGTTGGAGATTTGTTCAAGACTTATGTGCAACAAATTCAATTATAATTCCAAAATTTCCTGTGGTTCCAAATCCTAACACTTTGTTATCTAGTGTGCCTACAGCTGCCAAATGATTCACAGTGATAGATGTCTGCTCTGTCTTCTTTAGCATTTCACTTGATAAGAAGAGCCAATACTTGTTTGCCTTTATTTGGAAAAAACAGCAATACACCTGGACTGTAATGCCACAGGGGTCCACTGATGCCTCATGTTATTTTTCTCAGGCATTACACCAAGACCTGTCAATCTCACAATTTCCTAGAAATTCTACTACTATTTAATATGTAAATAATTTATAGTTATGTTCTTCTACCAGATAAAACTCTGTCATAGATTCAACTTCTTTCTTATAACCATTACCTTACAAGGGACATAAAGCCTCCATGGAAAAACTTTATTCTCTAAAGAAAAGGTCTATTACTTAAGACATGATTTGACTGGAAAGAGAATTTCCCTCTCACCTGAACAAAAAAAAAGTCAATCTAAGGTTTCCCTAGACTCATGACTAAGAGATAATTAAAAGGATTCCTTGGACTTTGGGGATACTATAAAACTTGGGTCTTCAACATTTTTCTGTTGGCATCCCCCTTATATAAACTTACAAAAAATCTGTCTTAAAGTCTGTATTAGTTCATTTTCACACTGCTATGAAGAAATACCCAAGACTGGGTAATTTATAAAGAAAAAGAGGTTTAATGAGCTCACACAGTTCCATATGGCTGGGGAGGCCTCATAATCATAGCAGAAGGCAAAGGAGGAGCAAAGGCATGTCTTACATGGTGGCAGGCAAGAGAGCATGTGCAGGGGAACTGCCCTTTATAAAACGATCAGATCTCTTATTCGCTATCAGGAGAACAGCATTGGAAAAACCCACCCCCATCATTCAATTACCTCCCACCAGGTCCCTCTCATGACATGTGGGTTTTATGGGAGCTACAATTCAAGATGAGATTTGGGTGGGGACACAGCCAAACCATATCAAAGTCTTTGCTATGGGAAGGTAATCATGAACAAACTTCCCATCAAATAAAACTGGCCTTACAACAGCCTTCAGCTTTAAGCCTTCTGAATTATACAAAATGTTTTACATTGTTTGTTTACAAACATGATGGTTAGGCCTTGGGAGTCCTGGCTCAGGAACACAGGGAAAGAAAGCGACTGATTGCTTATTAGAGTCTCCAGTTAGATCTAGTGGCCAGAGCATATTCAAGTTGTCTGAAAATAGTTGCAGCAGCAGCTAAATTAGAAGAAACCTCATCTGACCTAGTGTTAGGAAATGAAACTTTACCTACGAGTTCAACATACCGTTATACATTTATTAGATTCCAGTCAGACCCAAGCAGACTAACATCTTATGACATCTTTCTCCTGTAAACTCCAAATCTCCATCTCGAATATTGTAATCTCTGATTAGCCCTGTCACTCTGCCTAATGATGGAGAAAACCATAAATGTGTGAGTGTGGTATCACAACTATTGACCCCTCACACTGATTTATGGGAGATTCTATTAGATAGTCCTGAATTAATACTTTTTGTTAATGGGTCTTATGCCAAAAAATATACAAAGGAGATACGAAACAGAATATGCTGTAACCACTCAGTATGAACTAACAGAAAAGGGAACTCTTTCACAGTTTAAGTTAGCACAACCTGCAACATTATATTCTCTTAACTAGGCCTTGTCATATAGCCAAAACCAAATAGTTACTATTTGATTTTTATGGGTTTTTTTTTTTTTTTGAGGCTGGGTCTCAATCTGTTGCCCAGGCTGGAGGATAGTGGTGTGATCATGGCTCACCAAAGCCTCAATATCCTGAGCTCAAGTGATGCTCCCACCTCAGCCTAAGTAGCTGGGACAACAGGCATGTGCCACCATTCCTATAGTCCCAGCTACTTCGGAGGCTGTGGTGGGAGGATGACGACCATTCCATGACCTGTCTAATTTTCTTCTTCTTCTTCTTCTTTTTTCTGCAGAGATGGCTTCTCACTATGTTGCCCAGGCTGATCTCAAAGTCCTGGGCTCAAGGGATACTCCCACCTCAGTCTCCCAAAGTGCTGGGACTGCAGGTGTGAGCCACCATGCCTGGCCTAAGTTAACATTTACACAGACAATAGATACACTTTTGGAGTGGTCCATGATTTTGGAGTGTTATTGAAACAAAAAGTATTTCTCATTTCTAGTGGAAATCCCATCAAGAAGGGTCACAGGTAGATTAATTTCTTTTGGCTCTTCTACTGCCCTGATGGGTTGCTATTACTAAAACTGAAGCTCATATTCATAAAACTAAACCTAAATATTAATGGAAGGGATTAGAAGACTTTCATGCCAAGTTGACTACCACTGAAATTGTTAAAATATGCAATCTGTATGAACTCTATAAAATCAATTCAAATCAAATTACTTATGATCATTTGTTCAATAAACAATGCTGTGCACCTGAATTGGAACAACAAAAATGTTGTCTAAAAGGATGCAAATTTAATGCTAAATAAGGACTCACCAAGAGCTTGGATAGCTGCCTAATCCTTCCTGAGGCCCTGAAAATGCCACTCTTAAAAGTCCTGTACGCCATTACTCATCATTGTATGGATAAAATGGTTCAAATTGTTAAAAAGTACTGGTGGGATGGTTATTCTAAAACAACAAAAATGTTTTATAACCATTGTGTGGCTTGTCAAACCAGTAATCCCAGAAAGACCCTTAAAGATTCAAGTGGTATATTTCCATCACCTGCTGGGCCATTTAAACATCTACAAATGGATTTCATTTGATTGCCACCCTTAGTGGGATAACAATATATTATTGTGATAGTGTGTCTGTTTTTAGAATGGATTAAGGCTTTCCCTTGTAGAAAAGCTGATGTCACAACAGTAATAATAATTTTATTTAAAATCATTTTTCCTCTGTGGGCATCCCTGGACAGATTTCCAAAGATAGGGGAACTCACTTTACTAGACAGGTTATGAAACAATTAAATAAGATTTTACAAATCCAATGGCATTACCATTGCCCTTATCATCCTCAGTCCTTTCAAAATGTTACAAGGATGAATGGCATCTTGAAACTAAAATTACCTAAATTAATAAAGTTTATTGGATTAACTTGGCCAAAAGTTTTACCACTGGCCTTAATTGCAATTAGATCAACCCCAATGGGAAATTACAAATTGGCCCCTTATAAAATAATAACAAGGAGACCCGTGTCTTTGAAAATAGAGCCTCATGTATCTCCTGGACTTATTTACTAATATAAATCAATGCTGCAAAACATTGATGCATTTTGCCAAAGTATATTTTCACCAGGTGAAGAAAGCTTCCCATGACCCATCTGCTGATGATCAAACCTTCCATGGCCTAGAACGTGGAAACTGGGTCTTTTGAAAATGACACCAGAGAAAAACTGCCCTTGAGCCTCATTGAAAGGGACCATACTATTTCTTCTTACTACTCACACTGCAGCAAAACTTCAGAGTCTTGAAACTTAGGTCATGTCTCTCAACTAAAGAAAGCTCCCTTAGACTTTTGGGCTTGTCAACCTATAGGTGACTTAAGTAGATGGCATCACACAGTAGACAGCTTTCCCAAGATCACCAAACAAGACTTCATGTCACTATTTTCCATTGGCTAAAGACTTGTTTTTGTTTTACATTTAATACAAAATGTTCAAACTTGTACTCTTACTTAGTTGGGGACTTTCACTCCTCAAACTGAACATCCTCTAAAGTCTACTGTTCAAAGTATAGCTCACTAACCAAAGCAATTGCTGCCTATATAGTCATCTGGATGAACAGGAAAAAACACAGTTAATATTAAAACTTGCTCCCACACATACCTGGGTGAGCAATTCAGGAAACTGGCTTTCTAAAAAAGCTTGGTACCCTCCTCTTGGCAGTTCAGTTCCTATTTATAATAGACTAGCATTAGAAAGAAGCTATTAAAGAAAAGGGGATGGCGTATAACTACTGTTGATTTTATTACTGCTAATTTATCCTTACGCATAGAAAACCTTCACAGAATTGGGTTCAATCTAGGGAGTATTCTAGACTCCCTCTGTAATCAAACCCTTTGGTTTGACACAGATTATGAAGACTGGACCCCTATGTATAATAACACAGATACGACATGAAAACATGACCATGATATCCTTGAACATATCATTAGAAAATTCAGCCAGGTGTGGTGACTAACACAATCCCTCGGAGGCTAAGGTGGGAGGATCGCTTGAGGCCAGGAGTTAGAGATGAGCCTGGGCAACAAAGTGAGACCTCGTACAGAAATAATTTTAAAATGAGCCGGGTGTGGTGGCATGGGCCTATAGCTCCAGCTACCTGGGAGGCTGAGGTGGGAGGATTGCTTGAGCCCAGGAGTTTGAGGCCGCAGTGAGCTATGATTATGCCACTACATTCCAGCCTAAGTGACAGAGTGAGACCCTGTCTCTAAACAAAACAAAACAGACAAAAATCACTAAAAGTACTGTTCAGTGAAAACACTGAAGACAAATGAAATTCCCCCATGGTTTCACTGTATAAAATTAATACTTTTGTTTATTGAATAGAGCAATATTTGAGACATGTTTGAAAAGAAAGCCAATCATCCTTGTTTAGTGATGGTATGCATGGGTTACTTTATCACATTTATAAAATTATTTTTGTTCCTATTCTAATTTAAACCATAACCATTCAACCTGGTAATGTACAAATGTAGAGATGACAAAAAATAACCATGACATTTATATTACTCCCAACTGGTGAGTCATGGGATCCCCTTTGACTTTTTCTCTCAATAATGCTGGGTTGTTCATCTTGTGTGACAACAAAATATATAAAGGTTTTCCACCTAAATGGTCTGGATACTGTGGTTTGGGCTATCTCTTACCCGAAATGACCAGATATGACTCTTTAAATGCTAGTGAAATCCTTAACTTAGGGTCATTTGTACATGAAGTGGCCCTCATAAAGGAGCCCTCTGTGGTCTTCCAAACCTGAGCATACAAAGGCGTTTTCAAATTCCATTCTATTGTAAGAGCCCCTCTTTTTTTTTTTCTCAGCTAGAAGTCTCCGAATTGAAAAAATAACTTATTAGTATTTCAACAACTTTTTAAAGAAGTTTTAATGATACTTTAAATTCTCTTCAAGGAGTACAATCTGAGATAAATAATTTGACCTCAGTGGCACTCCAAAATAAACGGGTTCTTGATATTTTTAGCTGCTCAACACAGCACAACACAATTGTGCCCTACATGGTAAAAAAGACAAAAAAAGTTGTTTTTATGTTGACGAATCAGATATTGTTGCCCAAAATGTAAAGAATATTAACAAATAAATCCAGATTTTACATCAGATAAGCACTGCCTCCTCCATTGATCTATGCAGTTGGTAAAATCATGGCTCCTGGAAATTTTGCTCAGAGGAATTTTTCAACCTTTGATTTTTATTTTCTTTATAGTCATGATGTTGACTCCCCTGGTGCATTTTATCCTCTCACAGGTTTTTAATATTTTTTAACAGCCACTCACATGTCAAACGATTGCTGTCGGGCTCAGACAACTCGAGGACACTGACTATGTACTTCCTGATGGCAGCGATATGACTCTAATGATGATAACAACATCTACCTGACTTTATATCCCAGTAACTGTGTCAACAGCGGCAACTGAGAGTAACAGTATGCTATTTGGTCACACTTTCAGCTTGTTGAGAGGATGAGCAAAAAGGGGGAATTATTAAAGTAAAATTAAAATATAGATAAGGCCTGAAAAATTGTTGAACAAATAAAACCAGCTAGATCTTAAAAAGCAGCCTTAATTGGCCTGGCGTGCTGGCTCACGCCTGTAATCCCAGCACTTTGGGAGGCCAAAGTGGACGGATCACAAGGTCAGGAGTTCGAGACCACCCTAGCCAACATAGTAAACCCTGTCTCTACTAAAAATACAAAAAATTAGCTGAGTGTGGTGGCGGACACCTGTAATCCCAGCTACTCGGGAGGCTGAGGCAGGAGAATCACTTGAACCCAGGAGGCAGAGGTTGCAGTGAGCCGAGATTGCACCACTGCAGTCCAGCCTGGAGACAGAGTGAGACTTCCTCTCAAAAAAAAAAAAAAAAGATAATTGTGTAAGCCAATCAGATTTCTTTTTTGTTTTTGAGACAGGGTCTTGCTCTGTTGCCCAGGCTGGAGTGCAGTGGCACAATCATGCTTCACAGCAGCCTCACCCTCCTGGGCTTGAGCAATCCTTCTGCCTCAGCCTCTCCAGTAGCTGGGAGTACTGGTGAATGCCACCACACCTGGCTAATTTTTATTGTATTTTATTTTATTTTTTGCAGAGATGGCGTCTCAATATGTTGCCCAGTCTAGTCTTGAACTTGTAACCTCAAGTGATCCTCCTGCCTCAGCCTCCCAAAGTCCTGGGATTACAGGCATGAGCCACTGTACCTAGCCCCAAATTTCTTCATTTTATTTCCTCATTTTTTTAAATTAAATGCTTGCTTCTGATGTTCTGACATTGGAACACTAAATTTCTGTTGGTCTGGTATTCTTCAATTCATAAATTACTTCTTACACAAATGAACTCTTTAAAATTTTATTGTGTTTCAGATTTTTCTTTAACAGAAATAATTGAGCTAATATATGTAAAGTACTTAAAACAATACCTAGTACATTATAAACACTACATATTTGCTATTATTATCATTATAATAACATAGACTTTCCCTCTCTTTCTCTTTTTTACCTGAGATATTTACTGTCTGGCATAGAATCCCTTAATGTTTTTACAAATTACAACTCTTGCCTATACAGATATATCAAGAGTATGGTAATGCTAGCATATTGATGTTTATAGTTATCTTGAAAATTTGTTTTTAAATTATAGGATAATTCTAAAAAATGTTTAGAGCTAGCTGGCTTAGGTTCTACTGGTCACGTATTAAATGGTTATATTAATAGCATGTTAATTTTTTAGTGGGAACTTCGAAGAGACACTTAAACCAAAGCTCGTTTGAAAATTTTTACATTATCATTCTAATCTCCATAGATAGAAATAGTTAATGTGACTGGGCATTCCTCTGCCCTATTTATATTATGTCAACAACAAAATGATAGATGTAGATGTAGTTATTTGTGGAGAGGTCACTTTCGTAGGAACCGTGTGTACTCAGCTCACATCCCAAAATAGAGAAGGAAGCAAGCAGTCAACACAACAAAACCAAAGCAAAACATACACAGAAAACAATAATGACAGCAAACCAAACCCTTTGTGAACATCCAGAATCAAAAGCCTGTAACCTCGGGCACAAAGGTTTATGCACTTTCCTGAAGAGGAAAAGACCCCACTCAGAGGGAAGTATTCCTTATTTAAGCGCTCTTGGTGTTTGTTTCGGTTTTAAATCCATAGCAGTGAATTACCAGTAGGAGGTGGACTCAATAGGGCTGGCAATAATGTGGGAAAACAGATTTAAAAGCTCAAATATTAATAGTGATATCAACCATATAGCTGTTTGATCGTTTAGCATAACAGTTCTACATATCTCAAAAACTCTCAAGGGCAACCAGTTTCTTTCCCCCAAGATAGTGTAGTGCTTTATAAACTCTAAAGGACTGTACCATTATTAAAATCATCAGAAAAGCTTAAGCATCCAGGAATACCCTAAGGTTCTATTTCTCCTGCCTCTGTTTTTTCTCTCTACATGTTTTTCTTAGGAAATCTTATTTAGCCACATGACATCAATAAGCACAAGAAATTATGAACAATTTCTAGCCTTGAACTTTCATCTGAGCTACAGATTCTTACCTGTTCCTGAAGGAACTTCTCCAGGTGATTAACTGACCAGTTACCTAACACATCTCAAATTAAACTCATTATTTTCTCTTTTTTCTCCAAACCAGCTTTTCCCTTTCTGTTTTCTCATTTTGATTAATACATCTCCATACTCTCTATTGATCAAGCTAGAAACCTCTGGTTTACATCATCCTATCATTCATCCCCACTCTCATCTAAATGGCCATCAGTCCTATTGATTATATCTCTGAAATGTTTCCACAGTAGTCATAACTGATGTTATTTATGCTAAGCACTTCACATACACGTACACACACACACACCACACACACAAACACACACATGCAACCTAATTAATCTACAGACAACAGTCCATTTTAAAGGTAAAGAAACAGAGGCATGTAGAACTTAAGTAGCTTTCCCAAGGTGACACGGCAGTAAGCAGCAGAGTCAGAGTCTGAACCCAGTTGTGTGACTCCAAGGCTTGTGAGGCCAGCCCCTTTGCTGCTATGCTGCACATTGAAATCCATGGTCTAATTTCCACTTTTTTGCTGCTGTAGTTTAAAATTCAGGTTCTTTGTGTGATCATTTTCACTCTTAAGAAGTACCATACACATGAGGAGGTACCCCAGAAAAAGTCTCCTCTCCACTTTTCTGGTTTCTCATGCCTTCGTGGCATTTCTGGCTTTCCTCTTTGCCAGTCCCTTTGGAGTGACTCCTTATTCAGTCCCCTTCTCTGAACAGTCTACTCTGCTTCTACCTAGCCTTTGGATCTCAGTTTTTGGGTCCTTCTTGACTCCACCGGTTCATCTCTCTCCCAGCCCCAGATTCCACAACTCCAGTTGGAATCCTGAGTTTCCCACTTTTCTGGGAGTAGACACGCAATAGCAGTGGGATCTTAGTGGACTTCTTCGCCTCAGTCTTTCCCTCTTTGCAATCCATCTGGAGTTAATTTTTTTCTTTAAGGATAAAGGTGCTAATATTTTATATGGTGGTTCCTTTTTTTTTCTTATAACAGTAACTTATTTGCCTGGAACTTTACAGTTTACAGGGCTCTTTGATGCCCACAAATTTTCCCAAATTTGTCTTAGGGGTGCAGTAATGTCAGAACCCAATTTACACTATATTCCCAAGAAGCTGCTTTGAAATCTGGAGAAGAAATATTGTTTGTGTGTGTGATATATGAAGATGGATATTTGCAGAGTCCTAACGAAGACTGTGCTATAATTCATGATATGAGTATTCACTAGAATAATATATTCTGCTCTTCTTTATGCATAAAAAATATCAAACTACTGGCTTTGGAAGTAGGAAAGAATTTCCCAGTCTTGACACTATTGATATTTTGAGATGGATGGCTCTTTGTTATGGGGGCTGTCCTGTAGATTGTGGGGGGTTTAGCAGCCTCCCTGGCTCTACCCGCTAAGTGCCAGTAACACCCACCCTCCTTCCAGTTGTGACAATAAATACTTTTCTAGGCTTTTATAGGGTGAATTGTGTTCCCTCAAAATTTGTATGTTGAAGTTCTAACCCCTACTAACTCAGAATGTGACTTTTTTTTTTGTAGATAGTGTCTTTAAGTTTAAATAAGGTCATTAGAGTGGGCTCTAATTTTATATGGCTGTTGTCCTTATAAGGAGAAAATTTGGACATAGACAGGTGGAGGGAAGGCCATGTGGAGACACAAAGAGAAGAGAGCCATCTACAAGCCAAGGAGAGAGCCTTCAGAGGAAACTAACCCTGCCAACACCTTAATCTTGGAATTCCAGCCTCCAGAATTGTGACAAAATAAATAAATTTTAGTTGTTTAAGCCACCCAGTCTGTGGTACTTTGTTATGGCAGTCCCAGCAAACTAATACATACATTGCCAAATAAATGTCCCCTAAGATCAAATCACAGTTGGTTGAGAATCACTGGACTGGTACACATGAATTTCACACAGAAAACTATTAGGTTTGCCTTTTTGATGAAAGAAAAAGTAAACTTCTAATGACTTTTTTTCCCTTCAAAAGAGGGAATCTGAAGTACCTTCCCTCCCCACTTTCCTTTTATACCATAAATCTCTTTTAGCAGATAATTTCATTACTTTATAATTGGACAATGAAAAGAAAAAATAAAAAGCAGACCAAAAGGCTAAAGTGATGCGCTGCATCTAGGAAGTGACTCTGGTGTTGTGTCATTGAGTGTCTGTTATGTCTGTTAAATAATTCTGAGCTGTGGCTGCACCTAATGGTTCCATAATAATTATACAGAAAATACCCCCCAGGCAACATTTCAAAAAAAAATCTTCTAAAAGTTTTAATTAAAATAATGAGGTCTATTTCATTTCTCTCAGGCAGAAACTCCCATTGTTGTCCCTACCTTGTGCAATAATCAATAAACTGAAATATCTTGCAGTTAACATCGTGTGACCCTGGGACCCTTTCATGCCAACAGGATGAAATCTTCCTTTCCCCACCCACATTTCATCGAATATCCTGAAACACATGCAAAGGCTCTGAGTATAAATCATTCTACTATAAAGACACACGCACACATATGTTTAATGCAGCACTATTCACAATAACAAAGACTTGGAACCAACCCACATGCCCATCAATGATAGACTGAATAAAGAAAATGTGGCATATATACACTATGGAATACTATGCAGCCATAAAAAAGAATGAGTTCATGTCTTTTGCAGGGACATGGATGAAGCTAGAAGCCATCATTCTCAGCAAACTATCACAACATCAGAAAACCAAACACTGCATGTTCTCACTCATAAGTGGGAATTGAACAATGAGAACACATGGACACAGGGAGGGGAACATCACACACTGGGGCCTGTCAGGGGGTTGGGGGTAAGGGGAGGGATATCATCAGGACAAATACCTAATGCATGTGGGGCTTAAAACCTATATGATGGTTTGATAGGTGCAGCAAACCACCATGGCACATGTATACCTACGTAACCTGCACGTTCTGCACATGTATCCTGGAACTTACAGTATAATAAATGAAAAAGAAAAAAGGTCAATTTTATCTGTCATCCCATCCCATTTCATGGGTTCAAAAAGCCGTTGCTGGTTGCCCATGATCTGAAGAATGGAGCCTAAATGTTGTTATCTAGCTATCGTATGAGGAAAGATAAAATGAGTTACTGATTTAGGAAAGAGAACAGGGTCTCAGATGACAGTTTTGCCACCCTATTGTTGTTAGACCTTGATCACTTTTATGCTTTTGTGGCCTTAACGCCCTAATGTACTGTAACACTTATTTTATGCCACCATGTGAGGATTAAATGAGATAACGTAGGCAAATGCCCTTAGTGCAGCATCTGATACTTGAAAGGATCTCATCAGCTGTTGGTTGAAGTCTCCATGGTCCAGTCCTAATCCACTGGATTAGGCTTATTTCTCTCTAAACCTTTCCATAGAGTCTATATTCCAGTCAAACCAGACTGCCTTTTATTCTCCCAATGGGTCCTAAGGTTTCCCCCTTCGGATTGACACAAGAAGTACATTTCCAGTAAAATTTTTCTTCAAGAGAAGGGATCTGGAGAATGCTTGTCCTATGGGCTTCTGCTCCCAGGCTTTGCTGGGGTTGTGCAGACTTGAGACACTACAGGTCAAGTGTCTGGTACAAGGTTCTGTCCAGAGGAAGCGTTCACCAACTCTCTCTAGTCACACCTCCCGGCCTGCCTGCTTCATCCCACTTGTTCCTCATTCTCTTTTTTTTTTTTTTTTTTTGAGACAGAGTCTCATTCTGTCATCTAGGCTGGAGTGCAGTGGCATGATCTTGGCTCACTGCAATCTCCACCTCCCAGGTTCAAGCGTGTCTGCCTCAGCCTCCCGAGCAGCTGGGATTACAAGCACAAGCCACCACATCCGGGTAATTTTTGTATTTTTAGTAGAGACGGGGTTTCGTCATGTTGGCCAGGCTGTTCTCGAACTCCTGACCTCAAGTGATCTGCCCGCCTTGGTCTCCCAAAGTGCTGGGATTACAGGCATTAGCTACGGCACCCAGCCTCCTTCCTCATTCTTAAGTGTTTGGCCACTTTCTGCTTCCACTCCTGCCCGCTCTATAGATTGTTCTACATGGCAGCCAAACTTAGATTTCCAAAACAGAAATAGATAATTCCCTGGCACCACCTAAAATTCTCCAATGGATTCCTGTGCTTTCTTAAATGTAATGCAAATGCCTAAGCATGGTTGACAGGGCCCTGAATGCTTGAACAGTGCCTAACTCTCCATCCTCATCCTGAGCCACTGGTCCCTCCATCCCTCCATTACCTTGGTTGTTATACCCACCACTGTGAAGTTCCTCCTACACCCCAAGCCCTTTCCTTTCTCAGGGATTTTTCTGTACATTAACTTCTGCCCATAATGCTCATCTGCACCCCACCGTCCCTTCCAATGGCTGGCTCCTCTTCATTCTTAAATATCTTTCCCCACCCCCCCAGATAAGTCCTCTTGATCTTCCAATATAGAATATGTCCTCTCAAAGAATATGTCCTTTCCTTGCTCTTCTTCCTGCCTCTCCCTGCCTCCCTCCTCTCCATTCTTTTCACTTAGAAAAGTTTGTGGTCACATCTTTCATTACTTACTGACTTACTTTCTTGAATGCCATAAGGGCAAGGGGGTGCTGAATCGCCAGCTTTTAACAGCATTTGGCACGTTGTTGAAACACAGTAAATACTCCAGTTGATTGACCAGCTGAATAAATGCTGCATCCTCTGGCACTATTCCCTTCCTTTCTTATTCTAGGAGGCTTATTTTTAACAAACATGTTTTTTGTAGGTTTGGGAGGATAGTACAGCAAGCAGGTTAAGGATGTTAAAGATTACTGTATCTTCCTTGTGTTTCCTTTAAACAGTTAGCTAAAATGCACTTCTAAAAATGATTATAAATGCTTATCTATTTATCAAGGAGACATTAATGAACAACTCATAGAAAAAAATAAAAGGAAGCCAATAAAACGTATTAATTTTTTAGTTAATTTCCCGTTGAATGTAAAAGATGTAGAAATATGATTGTATTTTAAAATCAAATTGAGAGGACACAGATTCTACTCTGATTCGCAATTGAATAGTATGTGAGCCTGCACAGACACATAAACTTATTCTTAAAGTGAAAATGTCCTTCGTGAAATAGAACAATCTTCACTTTCTTACCTTAGTGATATGGAGAATGTGAATGTAATGCTTTTAAAGTGTATTCTGAGCTTCTTTGAAGTGCCCAGAATATAATTAACGAGTTCTTGTTATTTTTGCAATGCTTTCAAGCATTTTAAACCCAAAACAAAGGAGTAAAAACAGAAATGTAATTCTCCAAAAGAATAAAATATTACAAGATAGCCCCTGAATTGTATTTGATGACCTATGTGTTTATTTTAAACATTCCCTTTCTTTAAACTAAAATAATCCTATGCATACTGATGTGCATTGGAAAAATGAGAGACAAAAATTTCCCCATGCCATAGTTAGCACTTTTAAATTATGCTATGGGAATAATTTTCTAGCTAAAGTTTGTCTTTACTTCAATCTGGGACTTATTGACCAACACAGAAAAGACATTATTCAATTTCAAGTAAACAGTTTTCCCATTCAATTTAACCAAGGTTCCAGAAGAGGGAGCAGAGTCAACAATTAGAGAAGGGAGATTTTCAAAACTCAGATACCAGTGAAAAGACCAAATGCTGAATTAATTTGAGAAATATGTAAGACTTCATTTTAGCTCCCAATAACATGGCTTATTTATTTGCCTTCCAAAAGCATAAAGTTGGTCATCTGTCTTTCCTTAACGTCTGCCATAGAACATTCATTTATATGCTGACAAGCCTCTCAAGAGCCAATAAGTCACTGATGCACTTTCAAAAACTGAAGGTATAATAATTCACTGTTATTGGTTAATAAGTTACAAAGTGTAAGAAAATATAAAAATAAGTATAAAATTTAAAGTCTTTTTAGAACAAGTCTGACTACATATATAATCAGAAATTCAAAATGTCAGTGTAAGTTATATCCAATGTAAAATCAATTATTAACTAAGAAAAGATGCAAGAGAAAAAAAATGAGGATATCTCAAAAAGGAGAAGACCCATGCTTATATCTTTATAATGAACCTGTTAAAGTAACTGAGGTATGGGTGGGAACTCAAGAAGCGCATATTGATGATTACGCTAAAGGAGCCTCAGAGGCAAGGAGTTGTATCCACCATGAGAGTGAGTTTGCAAATATTACTATAAGTGAAACAGTAAGAAGTGGAGAGCTAACACTCATGGAAATTTACCACTAGTTGACACATGGCCAACTCCAGCTGCCCTAGAGTTGGGGCATGCACAGCTTGTGTGGCTGTGTTAGTGCTACTTACTATGTCCCTGGAAGTTAGTGTCATGAAAGGAGACCATTATTAAAAAGAAAAATTTCCAAGGCAGTTAGTAGACTACATTATCAGCAGTAAGATAAGGATTTTATCAATTCATACAAAAGGGTGTAGTTTTAAATCTGTTTAATGAGTATGAAGCTTTTTATTCTTTTATTTTACTTTTTAAAAATTTTATTCTAGGTTAAAATGATATATATGTACAATGTATATTTTATTATCACATATATAATACATAGTATATTTCATATATATTACATTATCACATATAATATATATTATATTATTAAATGTATACATTTTCATGTTTTTTTAAAGAACTACAAACCTTATAATGAAGAAACAAAAAAGCCATTAGGTCCGTGTCCCACCCTTTCCACTCCTGATTCCCATTTCCCAGAGGCATCCATTTGCACCGTTTAGTGTGGAGTCTCAGGGGTCACTGTCTTCAGATTGTAAATCACCAGTCTTCTACCAGGGTTATTGTTTGTGGTGAGAAAACGGGTGGTGAGGAGACAGTTGCCTGGCTGTGTGAGCTAAGGGATGTGTTTAACTGCTTCTTATTAAGACTTTCAGTGGATCTTCCTATTTTTGCCAGTACTCTGACCTTCCCTTTTTAGGGTTTTATGGCAGGAATTGGCTTGCTTCTTGCCTTATTCCATGTCATTTTCTCTTAAGACATTTCACAAATTTGTTAATGTACCTGTCTACTATAATTTCTTTCCTGTTTTCTTTATCTTTGTAGGTTTATGCTTTTTAAGTTCCTTTTCTGTCACTTGAGATAAACATTTGTTTAATCGGCTATATTTTTCTTAAGCTGGGACCACATAGCAGTTATGCAAATATCTGCTTGTTTAGGTATAACGTTTTATTTTTCTAATCCATGCCAACCTGATTAAAAATAGCCACAACATATTCTCTCCATAACTTTGCTTGTAGTCACACTTAGGAACTTAGTTCCCAACAGATTTCTTTCCCAAAATCATGCTGAAAGTTCCAGCCTTGGCTGGGATGACTCATCTCCCTGCCAAGAACTAGTTCTTTTGACCATAGTGTGGTGTCTGCTGTTTACCTCTTCTCCTGCCCTGATTTGGCTGTGGTAATGTGTCAAGATGCCATCAACGATCCACCAGTCAGCTATTTTAGATGCTTAACTTTGGCGTTTTATATCTGAGACAAAAAAGTATTCAGGGCTCCACTGGTACCACTGTCACCCATGCTACCACCATGGCAAATCCCACTGCCCTTGACCCAGACTTCTCCAGTTAGGCACAGTTCCTTTTAGATACTTCCTAGAAGTAGATGGATCATTCCTCAGTCAGGCTTGAACCCTAGAGTAGACACACATTGGGGAGAAGTTAAGCAATTTACTCAGAATGATCTCACTTAGAAGTTTGTATGCCTATGAAGAACATGTCCTTAACTACTGCATGTCAACAAAACTGTCAATACATTTTCCATTAGTTAGGAAGAGCTTCTTGAAGCAGATGGGATTTCAGTAGCCCTTTTTCAATATCAAATGAAGAATAGTAAGGTCAGGTTGGTATTCAGACGAAGTGGTTGGTGTTCCAGCGAACCACTGGAACTGGTGGGTTTGGGTGAATTTACTGTCCACCTATTAATCTGGCTGGCTGGATAGTGTCCTAATATTCCCTCATATGTGAGCCCCCATTTAACCTTCTGCTCAAAGAGGACAACCTTCCTTAACAGAGGAACCCTGCGTGTCAATCCCCAACATATCAGTGATTTTTCTATCCTGTTAGAATCTCCAAGCTAACTCTCAAGGTTCGTCCAAGGAGGAAAGGATGTATAGAATAAAGATCTTCATTTTCTAAGTAAGATAAAAATGGTAAAAGTTTCATTGTCCTCTCAGATTTAATATAAAATCTATATTCCCATAAAAATCTCTCCTAGATCTTAGCTGATTAGGAATTAATCTCTTCTTCCACTAAACTCTCTGAGAATTTTCTTTTTACTTATATTAAACTGTTAATCACAACCTTTCTTTTGTTAGGGTTCCAAGAGGCCCTGACACTTAAACTGAGTCTTGAAAAGAAATATCAGCTATGATAAGGGGGGGATGAGTGAGAGAAGGAAAAGCATTTCTGGTAGGAGAACAGCATGTACAAGAGCGTCGCAGCATAAGAGAGCAGGCTGTTCTGCAGAAACTACAATAGATTGGCATAGTTGAATGGAAGTGCTTGTGTTGCAACACGACCCATTAGGAGGCCTGAAAAGCATCAACAGCCAAGGCCAGATCAAGCTGGCCTCATATGTCACGTTGAGAAGTTCAGACTATCCTGGAGGCTCTGGGAGCCACTCTAGGACTTTAAGCAGGGAAATGACATCATCTTTGGATTTAGTAAATCTCTTGGGTGGCAGTTCTTTTTCTTTTGTTTTAAATTAAAGACGTATAAAGGGAACAGTGTTTTAATTTTGGAGATTGTATAGTATATTTTAGTTTATTTTCCTTCTTTCTTGATAGCCAACTTTTTTTTGTCATTTTTGTGTCATTATTCCATATTAATTTTGAATTAGATGCACTAACAGGCTTAAATTAGAACAATTCTTCACACGTTCTTTCATTTGTGGTCAAGCAATCTTCCTAGATGCATTTTTGGGAGACTTACATGTCTGCTAGCCTCAGATTGGCTGAGAATCTTCTTGAACCCTACTTGCAATTCCAATTAGTCACAGATCAAAACATTAATGTGGACAGATTAAAGCAGAAGCCCTCATGCTTTATTTCCTAATATCATCTGTCTTTGCTTTGAAAAGCACACCAACGGAATCTTCTGCATCTGTACACCCCAAAGGCAATTTAATCTCCCTTGGCCAACATTAAAGCTTTAAAGTAACTCTATGCTATGATGTATTTTTCCTCCTTTTCCAAGTTCAAGAATTACATAATTCACTTTTTATCAGACTCATTCTAGAAGACGATCAGTTGCTACATTGTTTATAGTTTTGAACATTATCTAAAAGAAGCCCTACAAGCTTAAAATTAAGTAAATTGATTTTTCCACATACTGTCATGTGAAATTGAATACAGGCAAGGACATAATCTAGAGAGTATTAACATATGTTGCTTTGTAATATATTTACTAATGGTAGTATTTTAAAAGATTGGGGAACTAAACCATCCGTTTATAAACTTTAAATACCAAAATAACTTCTCCCCACTTACTGGGTCGATTTTAAAATAGATTTTTCTGTAGGTGTGGGTCTCCCACCTAAACTGAAGCTTATCCTTTAAAGTGCCAAGACAGTTTCAATGTTAAAAATTGGTATAGGAATATTTTAGTAATTTATTCTATACTTTACTGTCTTAAAAAGAATTTTAATTTTTCTTATCATTCATGGTCACCATCTTATAAACACCAGTACCTGCTCGGGAGCAACTTTTGAAACTAATGAGTGAAAACTGTGGGATTCCTTGTTAACACACCAAATGGTGATAGATAGCTTTGCTTTATTTTTTGGTTCTAATTTCTGAATTGTTTATCCTTTGCTGTTTTTTGGGTTATTAGTTGATAAGTCCTGCAGTTATCAATGAAAAGTGAAAGGGATTTTTTTTTTTGTATTTAGTTTTTATAGAATTGAAATATATATTCAACGTACATTCAAAAGCCAAATAAGAAAGCTTATCTGGATTATATGTAAAAGAAAACAAATAGGATGTGAAAGAGATCCCAGGGCTCATTTTTGAAGAGATTTTAGTGCATGAGATTTGTACAGTAATATTCGACACTCAGCATCCTTTTTCAACTCTTGGATTTGTTTTAAGAGGCTGAAGTTGCAAGAAGACTGACCTCTGGGAAAGCGAGGTGTTGTTACTTAGCTACTTGGTAGGATGGTAAACTGACTCTAAATTTTTAATGATTGCAAATGAATACAGAGTGTATTACTTCAGGATCTAAGGATATATAGATAATTGTTCTGTAATTTCATTTGTTTTATATATAATAATAAAACACTAGTAATCTGGTAAATTGAATAATCATATTCTTAAAATTAAGGATGACTTAAATTATCACTGCAAATTTATCCCTCTTTTTAAACCAAATTCTAAATTTTTATATTTATATTTATTTATTTATTTAATAAAAATATTTTGTAGTTACAGGATCTCACTATGTTGCCCCGGTTGGTCTTGAACTCCCGAGTTCAAGGGATCCTCCCACCTCAGCCTCCTGAAGTGCTGGGATTAGAGGCATGAGCCATTATGCCCCGACTTAAAATTTTTTTTAAATGAATAAAACAGACAGGGCAGTGGAAATTAACCAAAATGCCATTCATTTTTCAGTTTCTTTCTGAAAACTCAGCTTGTCACATTAATTCATTTAAAGTCCTGCCATTCATCATTCAACAAATTAATAATGAATATTTTTTTAAGTGTTGAAAAGATGATAATTTATAAACCTACTACACAATTTCCTCCCAAATCATAATTCATTCACTTATTTATTCACTCAACCAACATTTCTATGAATGTTGATTGTTAGAATCTTCTGTGTGCCAGATCCATGATGTGCTGGGAATGTAAGATCCTGTAAGACATGGCCACCGTTAAAATCTTTCAGACTAGATTGTAATCTCTTTGAGGGTGGAGATTTAGCAATAATTAAATACTAAAATCGATTATGTTCATATATGAATTATTGATAGCATAGTATATGTGCACTGAAGCTTCTATCACTCTATTCATTGAATACTCACTCTTGGGGAGAGAGAATTTAACCTAAAGCCATAAAGGTTGCTCCCAGATATTCCAAGTGAATTCTACTATCCACTTAGGATTAGGTTTGCATTGTCCTTTTTGATCATAGAATGTGCTTTATACAATCAACGTGTGCTGTGGAATTCATATGCCATGTGTAACACATATTTTGCTACTGACTAGAGTGATGGAAGTCAGATGTTAGAAGCTCTTGTTTAGCCAGTATTCTTAATAGTGTTACAATGCCAGTGTTGAGAGACAAGGATCACACCCTTGTGGTATGGATCCCCCAGCCCTATCCTTTCTCAGGTTATGTTTGTTTAACAACATTCTTGAAACAAAGGCTTTGCCTATTTTCCATTTCAAAAGAATATTTCTTCTTGTAAAATCTCACACAAGATAGGAGGACATGTTGTGGTTGTTTGATGTGGGAGATATGTTTGAATAAGGACAGCTTTGTGAAACCTATTATATCTATTGGGGCAGCTCTCCCTTGGAGTGATTTCCCTGTTTACTGGGTATGTATCTGTGGGCATACTTGCTCCGGGGAGAGCCTGGTGTCCTGGAAAGAACACTGACCTGGAGGTCAGACGGCTTCTGTTCTGCCATGTATGAGGCATGGAAACTTGAGCAAGTTACCTTTTGCATCAGTTTCCTTGTTTATAAAATGGGGATAATAATAGTTATCTCATAGGGCTATTCTAAGGTTTAAATGGCATTATAATGTATGTATATGCATGCATTTTGTCATGAATTGTACATGGTATATAAAATTAGTATATGAGTAAGTAAAAAGTATTCTTATTAACTAAGAATGTTATATATGCTGCAGGCACATCACTATGTTTAAAAAAATTTCACTAGGTTTTTGAGGAACAGGTGGTGTGTGGTTACATGAATAAATTCTTTAGTGATGATTTCTGAGATTTTGGTGCACCCATTACCCAAGCAGTGAACACTGTACCCAATGTGTCGTCTTTTATCCCTCACCGCCCTTCTACCCTTTTCCCTGAGTCCCCAAAGTTTATTTTATCATTCTGAAGGCATGTCACTAAGACACAAAGACTATTACAAGTATGTTAGAATATGTTGTTTTTTTCCCTCATGATTCAGAATATACTACATACTCTTTTAGTAATAATGATAGCTAATATTTATTGAGTGCTATTATGTCACAGGCACTGTGCTTGGCCTATTCAGTCTCCATAATGATCCTTTGTGGTGGGGGCTGTTATTACTCCTGTTTTATAGGAAGGAAACTGAGTCACAGAGAAGCTAAATATCCTGCCCATGATCACTAGCTGGTAAGTTGCGGAGGATTCAAAACAAATTTTCTTAGAGCCCTCACTCTTAAAAAAAAAAAAACAAAACAGCTTTATTGAGCTATAATTCATATACCATACAACTCACCTAAAGTATTACAATTCAGTGATTTTTAGTATATCCACATAGTTCTCCAACCATTACCAAAATCTAACTTCAGACATTTTCATCACCCAGAAATCCCATGTCCATTAGCAGTCACTAACCAGTCCAACATCCTCCTACTCCTCAGCTGTAAGCAACATAATCTGCCTTCTGTCTCTAGTTCTGTCAGAATAGATTTGCCTATTCTGGACATTTTGTACAAACAGACTCACACACAAGGCTCATTCATATTGTATCATGTATCAGTACTTAATTTCTTTTAATTGCTGAATAATTTTCCATTGTGTAGATATACCACACTGTATTTATCCATTCATCAGTTGGTGGACATTTGGGTTATTTCCACATTTTGATAGAGCCCTTATTCTTACCCATTATGGTTGACTTCATTATTTATTAATCATTTACTATATTATTATTAAAAAGTTTTGATTATTAGGTAGCTCTGATAATTTGCCTTCCTGATAAAAAGAATTTGTTAATTCATTAAACATTTACTGAACAAATACTGTACACCAGATAGGTGTGTCAGGGATCTGAACAACATTCCTGTCCTCATGGGGAGGGGAGACAAACAAATAGTTATGAATTTGGTAAGTGCTCTAATAAAGATGTAACCAAGATGCTGCGGGAGCTCATTGGAGGGGAGCATACTTCAGACAAGGGGAACATGGGTAAGATGGGGCAGAAAAGCTCCATTGAGGGGTGGCCTAGTGCCTAATCTAGGGATGAAGAGGGATCATCTAGGTAGAGTAGAGTGAGGAAGACAATCTTGGCCTCACGTGCAGGGACAGCACATGTTCTGTCAGAGATGGTTTGTTGTAAGGTGTCCATGAGGCAGTGCAGAAAGTTGAGCCTGCCTAGAGATGGGGTGGGAGTAAGATTATAGCAAGATTTATAGGCTGCGTTTGGATTTTATCTCATACTCTAGTGTTTCCCAAACTCATTATTTTGCTATAAGGACAGTAACTTAAATATGATTCTATACACATTTGTGTTACGTATGTGTATACACACATCTACATACATAAAGACATATATGTGTGTATGTAGACATATCTATAGACCTATGGATATATATTATTGGACTCAAATTACCTAGGGAAGTTAAATAAAAGTGGAAAAGATCCATCATTACCTGTAAATAGAAAACCAGTATCATCTGTCATACATGGAAGGAAACTGTTAAAGTACATACAATGAAAACCAAACAATGTTAATAAATTCTAGTTATATTCCTAGTTAGCTGCTGCCAAGTCAAACTGAGCCTGAAGCCTGTTCTCCCTTTGATAAAAAGGGAGTTTAGTGAGAGCAACAGAGGTGTGGAAGACAAACTAACCCTGGCTAAGACTTTCTCATTGATGAAGCCAGAAGGGCTGAAGGGAAATTGAAAAGGGAGCAACTTTCCCTTTAGGTGATAAGATGTTTTAGATTTCATGACCCAGTATCAACTAAGATCACTTTGGATACTGCTGGTGGTATGGATACCCCCAGGAGGCACTGAAGGTTTTTTAGCAGAGGTAGAAATGTCTCCCTGGTGGTGGCCTGGGAATGAATTAGAGGACAGTCAGCCCACAGCGGGTCACTTCAATAATCCAGGTGAGAAGGGAGGACAAGAAAGGGCCCTGCACACTGGAATGTGTGTTGTGCGATGGTACTCTGCCTAGAGGTGAGCCTTCATTAGGTTCCTGCTTTTAAAAGAAAGAGCAGGAAACTCACTACAAGACTTTCTAGGTGTTGGCGGGTGGGGCGGCGGGGAGGCAGTGGGATTTAAGGCACTTCTGTAAAAACCCTTCCTTCCTTCATGGCACTGGGCCTTTAATTGTTACCAAGGCAGTTAAGTGGGGGCATTTCTTCCAGGGTTTGGGGGAGGTGTGGCCGACTGAAGTGGGCCGAGAAGCGGCTCTAAGCCTTCATGCGTTTATCCTTTCAGCTTCCACTTCACTGGATTTTCTCAGTTTCTCCGCTTTGACCTCACCCCCATCTCCTGCCCCTCTTGGCTTCTTTGTGTCAGTGTCGCTTTCTGTCAGATCACTGTCAGCGGCCCAGGGAAATGGGCAAACAAGGCCAGAGCGTGCTGCTCCTGAACCGCACTGATTCCCACTCCCAGCGCCCACGCGGAGGCAGGCAATTGGAGTGACAGGCCCGCCCAGCACACAGTGACTCATCTCAGCCTCCAGGATCAGGCCAGAGGACGCCAGGAGTTTGCCCTGTTTATGAAATCACCTCGAGATTCCACTGAAGTTAGTAGAAGAAGGCAATGACAAAGTGTGAAGTGAGGCAATTCTAATCCACATTATGACTGGGTAATATTTTAAAATTGCATTCAGATTTTTACCCTATGAAGAAATGTTTTAAATATAATCTCTTTGGAAGTCGGTTACTTTTCAGGCTGAATAAATTCACCTGGCCAAAAACCAATGGCAAAATGCTCAGAGAATGAATGTAGAAGGAAAATGGTGCCCATAGTCATTCTGGAAGTAGAAAATAATCTCCACATTAAAACTAAACATAAATTTAAACTAAACGAAAATACAAAAATTGAACAAAATCTAAACACATTTAGAAAGCATCAATTCTCTTTTCGAACAATGTGACATTACACTTTTAATATTTGGGGGGCTATTTACAGCTCTTATATTAATACAAAGGTAATTGAGAAAGATATTCTCAACATACACAATTGTTTGGCAAGAGTTTATCTAATTCTCACTGACAAACAAAATTATGAGTACCTTCTGAATACAGAAATATATTATTCCTTTTCTGAGCCCCACGTTTTAGGAATTTAGCAAAGATGTGGGAAAAAAGGAAGGAAAGAGAAAACTCAACATGTCCACGCACCAAAAAAAAAAAAAAAAAAAAAAAAGAGGCTACCACAGAGATCCTTCAAAGTTGTCTTCTGTAGTGGGAGGATTTCCTTTAAATCCTTTTCAAAAGCATATGGCTGGCTTTGAAAGCTTAAATGGCATTTGTCAACCATCAGTAAATCTTTAAAATTGTTTCTGCAAATAGGCCAACTCAGAGTTTCGGCTTTTCCCATTAATCTTTAGGTAGGACCACTGAAGACTTTTTCAGAGCCTAGATAATGCCTTGATTAAAAGGCTCATTCAAGAGGGAAGGCTTTAGCATTCACCTTGGGTACATAGTCATTTCTCCAGGGTATTCATGGGCTGTTATTTCAACTCTGCAATTGTGCCTCAAACAAGACATTTTTTTGCCACAAAGCTTTGGGTAGAGACATTCTTTAGTGAATTACTGAAACTTTGCCCTTCTATTTGTCACAGCTTGTTATTTTTTATCAAGTGCAATCAGTGCAAATAGGAGACTCAGACTGACAACTTTACAACTGTTGCCTTTAAAAACAGACAACATTTTATTTTATTTTTCCAAATGTCCCAGTAGTCTTGCTAAAACTACATGTACCTGTCTGGGTACTGTCTTGCCTACCAGTTTGTCATTTACAGCACAGCTTCTGGCCATCAAAATAAATATAGAAACAAATTAAATAGATGAAGGCTAAAGCATTAAAAATATTCAATTACCCTTTTAAACTCTCACAATGTTTAGTGAAAATCAATCTGCTTATCCCACATTAATATGACATAATGTTCCTTAGCCTATGTAATATTTTTAAAAGCATTTCTCTCAACTTTGTGAGAATTAATAAGGAATCAGATAAGGCTCTGTGAAATTCTTAGATGGAATGTGCTTTGCAAGTTTAAACAATAAAATACTTTGGATTTTCATGAGGTTAAAATACACCCATCTCTAGAACTTACAGCATTCCTATGGAAATGACATGAAAAGAACAAGTACTTTCTAGGCAGAATATTCAGAATTATGGCAACTAAAATTACTGTTGCATGCAACCTGCCAAATCGGCATTGTTTGTCCACTGAAAATATTAGTTTTGATCTCTACCATCATTCTAAGATATTTTTTGATATTACTAATTATTACTGAAGTTACATGTAGCTAATACTTTCCTTAGCAAACACTACCTGGCAAACAAACAAACAGACAAATGAAACAACTTTGATTTCCCCAAGAAAGATAGTGATAATCAGAAACAGAGGAAATGACAACCAGCCATTCCTGATGCAGATGTTAAAAATGACAGCAAAGAGGGAGTGCCTACTATCTTCAGTACTGGGTTCCTGGTATTTATTATGTCCCCAGTTCTTCAGGCCAAATCCCCTCCACAGGCACTTTCTCATCAGTGAAATCTTGAACAAGTCTCTCTCAAATGTACAATTATCTTCACTACCTTTTAAAGTAACTTTAAAACTCCAGCCTTCTGGAAGCAAATTAGAATGGCCATCATAGCTGAAATTCTCTTAGAGTCCTGGGGAAAGTACAGGCTTTGGAATCAGACAGATCTCTTTTCAAATCCCCTCACTCCACTATTTATTGGTTTTGTGACCTTGGAAAATTCCTTAACTTCTCTGATTTCTTTATTTATGGAATAGAAACAAACCCCACCGGTTTGATGTCAGGATTAAATAAGTTAACATATGGGAAGTCTGGCAGATTATAAATGATGACTATTTTTGTTAAAAAAAAAAAACCTGGTCCACATTATTTGCCTTTTTGCCTTCCTCATCCTCCAAGCATTCATACCCTACCTTACATAACTTCTTGGTAACTCTCATTATCACTGAAGATTCACTACAACTTTAAAGTCAGATGCATTCTGCCTATTTCCAAGGAGGACGTGTTACCAATTTCACAAAATCAATAGCTCCCAAAAGAGCCATCGTTATGTTCCTATCTCCTCAGTTTTCTTAAATTTAGAAAACCTGAAAATGACAACCAGACCTTAGATACCAAAGAAAACCTTTTAAGTTTTCAATTCTTTATAATTTTCCAGCTCTTCCTTACCTACTACTCATAAAAAAAAAAACATGGAAGACAGAGGAAATTATTATCACATGTATTATAGGATCAATTTTTTTTGGCAGGGAATCTAACTGCAAAATAGTATGATCGTGAAGAATCATGGATGCAGAACATTCTTTTTATCCCCCAAATAAGTGAATTTTTTATTTAATCTGCTACATTTACTTTTCATTTCTTCATCTTCTTCCCATTCAATTTAAAGAAGTCAATGCAAGGTGACTTCTTTACATGATATTCTCACAACTTTACACCATCTAATATTTTACCAAGCAAGGAATCCTAAAGAACTATCAGTTTAGTAAGAGCACCTTAAATGTTTGAACTCCATTTAATAAAATAAAATCTTTGCTAAAATGAAATGATGGAATGTTAAGCCCTTTCAGAGTTGATGATACAGAAGTAACATAATTTCATAATCCTCCTTGCTCCTTCGATTTGACTCTTGATTCAGAAAGAAGGATTATGCTAGTATATTTTGTCCTTATTCTAAAAATACAAACAAAAAAACTGTCCTATTCAATGGATAATCCTCATAGCAGTTTGTCTAGATGGTGTAATTCATGACTTTCTATGTCTACATAAAGGCACAGGAATCACTGAAGTACACCAGCCATCTAGTTGGTGGCACTTTGCCAGTCTTCCCAGGTGCAGTGCTGGATAAAAAATTATCTCATTCTATTGAGTTCTAACAGTGTGCTAGACATTGTGCAATGGAAAGGAGTATGGAAGAGGTGCAGTTGCTGCCTTTTAAGAGTTCACAGTTGAAGACCAACAAAATACAGTGGCTGCTGTTGTTTCACTGAATTAGTTTTATTTAGACTTTTCTGAGTGGTTAGGAAGTGGCCATTTGATAATTTCTGTGCTTTGGATTACCAGACACTGCTTATTTTCTCATTTCCAGTTAATCAGTTTATGTTACCTGAAAAAGGAATCCTGAGGTAAGTTTCTAATAGAGGAAACTGAAAAACATCCTTCTGCCAGGTGTTAAATAGCAGGCGTTTACCTGATGGACATGGAAACTATAAATGCAGGAAGAAAGGAAGTTTATGCAGCTGGATGGGAGATGGAGTTGAGCTAGCATGGTAGTATTCTGAGGCTGTTCTGTAATTCCCTGAGGAATCCTAGTACTAGGAAACTGAGTTTTGTTTAAAGCACAGGGGGAGAAAAGCCAAGGATCATAAACATTCTTTGGAACAGTAGAAATGCACGCACATATGATAAAGACAGGAAAGGAACTAACTAGAAAGTTAAAGGAGCCTTTGAAACAGAAGAGCAGGAAAATGGAAAAGAAAAAGTCGAAATAATTTAAGGATCCTACTGAGGGTTGGCCATTTTCAGAGTAGCACCGCCTTACTGTGGTGAGTCCACTTTCATGATTCTCCTAAGAACAATGGCAGTCTTACCTGTTTACTCCTTCTTCCCAACTAAATCATTTCAGACCAGTTTTAGGAGATGTTAGGGTATGCTGCCCAGTTACCTCTGCTTCAGGATTGAATCTCTCATTCGTGCAGCTGGAGCTCCAGCTGAGCTGCCTTGGTGAACGATTAAAGAGAGGCTCCTTGCCCAAGGTCATACTTCGAGGAGGCACTAGGGAGGGGGACGCCTGCCTCCAATAACTGGTCGGTCTGAAGGTATGAAGGGACATTTCTGAAGGGCCACTCCATGCCAGAGCTCCCTGTAGTATTAGCAGAGGATCTTATGACCTCATCTCAGTTTAACTTCTCCCTCTGCCCAATCCTGCCTTCTTCAGTCCTCCATCTCTCTGCAGGTTTGATCCTGAAGGTACACCCCAGGATATTCTTTACTCAAATCTCTAACCCCAAGTCTGCTTCCCAGGAAAACTTTTTTAACCTACACCCCTGTTTTCTGAACATAAAAATCTCATGCCAACTTTGAATGTTCAAAGACATTTTAAATTAAATATCACTATTAAAATCAAAGCAATTATGATATTGAATGTATTTATTCAAACAACAGATGTATCCTGTAGCCGGTTGAAACTCTCCTTAATATAGACTTACGATTATTTCCCTTCTGTCTACTCTAGGGCCATAATTGTAGCTTATGTGATATAATTCTGATTTTTCTTAACTCAGTTCATTTTTTTGTCTCTTTCAATCCATCTTCTAGATCAGCCTGTGGCCCTGTGTCTCCTCTATTTGTGTTTAACCCTTCCGGAAAGTCATCATTTTCCTAAAACACTTATTAAGTGTATTTCATGTCATGTACTTCTGAATATGTCAGATACCCCTAACCAGATTGTATATTTCACTTGTAGTTCAAAGTTGATTCTGGGCACGGCTCCTGGGTCTGTGATAAATATGTGGACATACAAAGATTCATCCCTCCCTCCCTCCTATCCTCCTTTCTTCCTCTTATTCAACAAATATTACTTGGCACTTATTATGTGGTAGGCATGGTATTAAGCTCAAGGGATTCAACAGTGAACAAGACAGATATAGTTCCTGTCTCTTTAGAGTCTTCCTTTGAGATATTTTTCATGGAAATAAACATTAAGCTGATAATAATACAAGTGATTATTTAATTACATTTGCAAGTATTGTGAAGGAATACAACATACATGATTTAAAGAATCTTTTATAAACTGACATTTAAGTCCACCCTACAATAACATATTTTTGCAGAGGTTTCTATATTCCTTTGGCCAAAAATTAGCACTTCAAAGAGTTATCAGCTAACCTCTGAGACAGTGCTTTTTTTGCCTATACTGACAAAGGCCTCCTTTTAAACTTTTGGTTTAAAAGTCAGGCAGGATCAAGACCTTTTACATGGTCATTTGATGTACTAGAGATTATATATATACACACACATATATATGTATACATATATGTATATTATAATTTATATATGCTAAAATATATGCCAATAACCTGTAGATAAATAATAAAGGCAAGAGAGCTGTTTGTTGCAGAGATACTAATCTTTACAAGTATACAGTAGAATGATCAATTACCTTGTGTTAATATTTTCTGTAGTACTATCGTAAATTGGTCTCAAAGCTACTTAGTCAAGTAGGGATTTGGAGAGACGGACTTAAATAATCATCATTGTCATCATAATGGTTGACATTTACTGATTGTTTGCTATCTGCTAGGTGCTGTACTGAGTACTTTGTAGAACCAGTCTCATTTTATCCTCTACAGTGAGTACTATCACTGTCACATTTTATAGATGTGGACACTGAGGTTTAGAGAGACTTAGTAATTTGTTCAAAGTCACACATCAAGTAAGTGACAAAGCTAAGATCTCAACCCAAATGTTTCTAATGCTAAAGCCTAAGTAAACCTCTCGACTGAAGCTAAGAGAATATACAGTCTGAGTCTACTTTGGGCCACTTCCTAAAGCTGTGGAGCTGTGCACTGCACAATTCCTTGAGTTGTGCAAGCCAGCAGTCTTAATCACCTGTGTCAATGTTCAAGAACAGATGCTCAGGTTTTTCTGGAGGTGGTACCCAGGAATGTGAACTTTAAAAAAATCCCCATGAATGATTCTGATTTTTGCCCCAGTTATAAACTACTGGGCTGGAGTATAAATGCACTCAAATATTTATATAATTTTACTTTATCTATTGTAAAGTGACTAAATGTGCTAAAACCATAATACTAAATTTTTAATAAAATACAATCACAGTTGAAGTTTTTATACTAACTTGTAAGGGCATTTGTCTAGTTAGCGACACAATTAATATTAAAAATTCAAGCCCCTTAATGCCCTATCCATATATGATATGACTACTTTGGTGTGAGTTTTCCCTGAAGAGCAGTGGGCAGATGAGAGAACTAAGATTATCTGGGATGTATTAATGAAGTGTTTTGAAGTCTTGGATAAAGATGTTGGATTTGAAGCACTGGACAATGTTGCAGCATGATGGGTCCTTAAGTGAGGTGTGGCACAGCCAAAACTGGCAAGAGGAAGACGGAATTAGTCAGAGTGCAAAGCTTCCACCAGAGGGGCAATGGGAAGAGTGAGGAGAAAATTGCAGTGGTCCAAATGAGACTTGCCTGGCATGAATGCACCATAAAAGATGACTGGCATCTATTGGGTGAGACGATTACTCCCAGCCATTGATGAGGAGACTGTAGTTGAGAAGAGCTTGCAGGAAGGACTTTTGCCCATGGGAGAAACTGGTGAGAGCAAAGACAGGGGGAGGAAAGCAGAAATAGGTTAGAAAAATGGATCCCAGTCCAATTTTCCTGAATAGAAAAGTTGAAAAGAGAATATGGAAAAATAAGGCCAGAAAGGTCAAATCTTAGCATTTTATAGCTAGGAGGAGCTTTAGCTTTAAATTAACCTAGGATTTCAATCTGCTAATGAAGACACTAGATAAGGAGATATTAAATGACAGCCATTCAGAGGCCTAGTTGACAGAGGAAACTCTCTCCAGACTCTCAGTCCTGCATGAGTCCTGCTGTTGGAGCACAGCTGGGTATGACTTGAGGTGATTGTAGAGATCTTGCATGCAGGACTATGGATTTGGAGTTTTCCCATCCCTGGGTGTTGCTGGAGCTTTCTGAGCAGGGAAGTGACACGATCAGCATTCAATTTAGAAAGACTGATTTGGCAGTGGCACATGCATGAGATGAGAGGGAGATAAGGAGACCCATTAGGAGGCTGAGCAGGCATGTGTCAAGCACAGATAACAGGGTCTATTAACCCATTTTACAGATAATGAAACTGAGCTTTGGACCATGGCCAAATTCACACCCGGCAGATTACAAAACCTGTGCATTTAAGGCTGGATTCTTGGAGTATTTACCCCACTTCAGATGGGACAAGGGGATGGTCATCAGAGTGCAATGCTGGAGAGTGGTCCAGGATGATTGAGGACTAAGAAAAGGCCATTTGGACTAGACAGTAGGAGGTCATTGGTGGCATTTAAGACAGAGTGATTTAAGTTGAATGGTGGAGGTGGCAGGCTGATTTCAAAAGGGATGAAAGAGTGACTGGGTGGTAATGAAATGGTGGCAATGAATATGGCCTTCTCTTTCAAGAATGTTGGTAGAGAGGGGAAGGAGACAGAATGGAAACAGTTTGAGGAAATTGAAGAGCACAGGAAAGACCCTTTGCTTTTTGAAGTGAGGAATCTATCATTCCCCCAATAGAAAATATGTATATAACACTTAGATGTGCCAAGTGCTATGCTAGTGGGGAGCATGATAATAAATAGACTAAAAGGCGGAAATAGAGGATGCTATGGTGATATCTTCAAATGGAAATCCCTTTATCAAGTAAAATGCCAAGTTAGCAAATTTAATACAGTATGGAATGATACTGACATTTTAGATTTCATATGTCTGGAAGATAATTAACTGATATTTTCATTTGTGTCCTCCATAGCACCTTACATAACTCATTCTCAATAAAAATTTGCTGAATGAATAAACTATCATTCCCAGGAGATAAAAGGGAATGGAATGACAGATCATAGATGCATGATAACTTTGGAAAAGGGGCAAACATGTCCCTTCTGAGATATGAGGGAAGGGGGCAGGGCAGACACATAGGTCATCAGAAGCCTGGAGATCTAGATAAGGCTAAACTGTGGTTTCTGGCTGCTGTGCTTACTACCAGAAAAGGTGCAAGACAGATTATAACCTCCAAATGTGGATGCTGTGGCAAGGAGAGTGGATAAGGAACAATTCCTGGGAAGATCTGTCATGGTTCTGTTCTCAGCAGAGCAATGATTTCTGAAAGCCTTTTGAAGTGGGTGGGATTGAGTTTCAAGATAACAGCCTAGTTGAGAGTGCTATGCAGAAACCATTCATTCATTCACTTATTTTGCAGGGGAAGGGTTGAGCAAAGATGTGGAGAAGTAAGAAAACTAGCCCTGTTTTACAATAGGAAATGGAGGCGCTGTGTAAGGCGGGATGAAATGGAAGTCACTATGTAGGAGAGGAGGAAGAATGGGGCTGGATGATTCCTGAGAAAATAAACAAGTTATAGAGGAATCCCAGTCTGATTCTGCCTCCACTTTTCCACCGGTTCAGGGACACGTAATGTCTGTGGGTTAAACATGGCATTAATTTGCAAGTTAAGCATCCCTTACTGTATATAAAGTTAAGCCAGGGGGATGCATTCACTAAAATGAGCACCGGATGAATTATCATTTAGCAGAAGATATAACAGATAGTAGAAGACAAAACAGATCAGTAAGAGTTAAATGGTACCTGCCAGTCATATAGTTAATCAATAACAGAGTGAGATGAAAACCCTGAGACTCAGAAGCTTGATGTGCTGTGAAGGAAAACTTGAAGAAGGACCTTACGCTTTATTTGGCAGGCAGAAGTCATGATTGGAACTGAGAAGTAAGTTTAGCCAACTTCTCCACACTAAACTTTTAGTGTCTTCCCATGAGTCCTTGTGACTCTTAGGATCCTTTTTGTATTTCTCTCTTCATCATTTTTTCATTTCCAGTCACTGTTGTCTCATGTTCAGCCAATCTGAAAATTTCCTTCCACATGCTTTCACACTCTTGTGCCTGCACTGATGTGGGTCCTGACTTCTAGAGGGTATGCCCCATCCCTCTAGGTGAAAACCTCCCCATTCTTCAAGAGCAGGGCAAACATGACCCTCTCTGTGAAGTATTTTCAACTCCAAGTGGAGTGAATGATTTTCTTCTCTCTGCTTCCACAGGACATTATACCAACCTCTGTTAGTAATAATAGCTAACCTTACCTTGTCTTTACTACCTGCCAGGCACTGTTCTAAGTGGTCTGCAGATAAACCTTGGAAACAGCTCTAGCCCAAACATTCTATTTCACAGATGAGAAAAATGGAAGCCCCAGAGGAGTAATAATTATTTATAACAATATCAATAATTATAAATTATTATAATTTATAGGAGTAATAATTATTCTAAATTATCAGTACAAATAATTTGTCCAAGCAAATAAGGGGCAGTACCAGGATTCCAATACCAAGTGATTATCCCAGAGGAAGGCTCTTAACCACTACACTACTTTTGTTTTCTTGCCTGTCTTCCTCAATTAAATTGTGAACTCCAGGGAGCAGAGGCTGTTCCTTAATTCATCTTTGTTTCTTGGGCCTGGTCTAGAACTGGCCTGATAGTAGGTGAGGAACAAATATCAGTTGAATAGTTGAATTAATAAACTTAGGTTTGGCCAGCTCCCCCTTGTGAACAAAAATTGGGAGAGTTTACCATGAATGTGAGAAGAATAGAGGGGACTCATGCTTTCTACTTCCAGTGGGGAGTGGGGCTCAGCGTATGTACCTGGCCCTCAGCTTCTGGCTTCCCCATCAAATGCAGGAAAAATGTACAGGCTCATATGCCATGATTGCTACCTTCTCCTTATGTTATTATTAGGGGTGCAAATAAATGAATTCATAATTGTATTTCAGAAGAATTGAAAATGAATGAGATATGCCCAGTAAAACTATAAGCCAGTAAGGCAGAAGGTACATTTATGAAATCAGAACACAACTGCAGAGTGCTTTGCCTTATGAGAGGGCTCCTAGTAATTATAGGTCAGATCTCACAGGAGGATTCTGCCTCTTAGGGACTGCATTAAGGCCTCCTTTTGTATAAGGTACATACTGGTCTTACTAGGTCATGCTATATATTAGAAGTACAGAAAGCACAGAGGAGAATTCAGCCACTGCTCAGACTTAAATGGGAAAGTCTAGAATACTCCTTCCCTCTCCTTTCCTTGGCTAACTCTAACTCATCCTCCAAGTTTCAGATTAAATGTCGTTTCCCAAGGGAAGTGTTCCCTGACCACCAAGACCAGGCAGGTTCTCTTTTAGTGCACTCCTGTTTGCCATCAGAGCTCTTTCATCTTAATAATTTACATTTAAATATGCATTTAAAAAATTTCTGCTGCCATACAAAGGCAAGGATTGTGTACATCTTGTAAACTGCTATACCCTCAGCATCTAGCACAAGGTGGGCAGTTGATAAAAATATTAATTGTGTGAATAAACGGATAAATGAACGAATAAATTTGCAGGAACACGAAGCTGACACTATGAAAGATCTCTTCCACAGTCATAGATTGACTTCTTACTCATAATAGTCGCCATCTTTTCTAGACTTTATAAAAACTAGCAAGAAAGTACAAACAGACTTACATTTTAAAACACTGCTTAAGGACTTTTAAAACAATGAAAGAAGAGTTAAAATGTTTGTTGACTGCAGCTTTCCAAAAAATAGTAGAAAAAAATCAGAAAACTAAATCCAATTATTTTAAGTAATTTTAAATGTAAGGTAGAATATTGGTCTTTAAATATTCTCTAGTTTCCTTTATAATTATTCCACAGTAATAATTTCTCTATAACCTTGAAGCTTGTTGAGCTCCAACCTCACAGAGGCCCTTTTAAAAGATCTTCTCATTTTATAAGGAACATTAAATCTGACTTGAAATACACACTTTGGTATCTAAGAACCCTAGCGCAGGAGATTAGTAGCCAAAAAAGCAATTAAGTTTACAGTAGGGTTACAGATACCATATCTACTACAACAGTTTGAAAAGGGAAGTAATGCAAAGGTCATATCAACAAGAAAAAAAGTAACACTAAATAGTAGATTTTTTTTAAGAAACAAAATCCCGTATTTCAAAATCTTTCCTTCTCATCTAATGACTACATGTGTTTGGGAGCTTAGAAAAAAACAAGAAAGGAGGAGGCGGCACTACTGAAGTTGGTAACTGGCACAAAAACCATGAACCAGGCTGTGAAATTGAAGCATCTGTGGCGTCAGGTTCCTGACTAACTTTTTCAATTTGATCTTAGATCCCATTCTAGTATGTCCAGGATTGTAGGATCCCAAGCTGGCTGGGTCTGTGTACATGAGAGAAGCAGCAACAGCTTGGGGTTCAAATAAACACAGGCAACTGCCTCCAACAACTCACATGTGAAAGGCTGAGCTTCAGGGAAAAACCAACAATGCTTTAGGACCAGACAATAATTGCACCTTTTTACATGAAGGTAAAGGTGTTCCCACAAAACAGCAGGACTATATGACACAGACACCAATTATAAGTCACCTTTGGTAACCTTGTTTAGTTACATAGCACTAACTATGTAAATCCCTGGATTTACAATGGTTATGCAGCCCATGAAACTATCTTTAGCTGGAGTTTCTCTTCTGTGTCAGTATCCTATTTTGAATGAACAGTGCTCTTAGATGAGCAGAAAAGATGTATTTAGCTCCCAGCATTACAATTTCTGATCCCCTTTACTTTAGCTCTTTTGAAATAACATGAAAGCTTTGGCTTGCTAATTACTTTTAACCAGCCCATAGAAAAATTAGTTTATCTTCCTGATCAAAGCAAATTAGGCAGATCATGGTTGATTAGAATGCAACAGTAAAATCTCCATACTTTCTCTTCCATCCCCTTTCTCTCAGAAATAGGGTCTGTGTCAAATATGTAGGTATTTCCCACGGCCAGGCCGGACTCTGTTTCCAACAGGGACTGCGGCTTGGACAATGGTTCTTACACAGACACTAAAGTTCTTTAGTTCAGTCATTGTGTTCGAAAAGAACTAGTAACCCCTTAGCTAGCATTTGATGAAACATCTAGATTTACATATTTCCTTAATTGCATTTTTGAATGTGAGTGAGATTTATCTGACCAAAGTTAAATGCCTCCTTTATTCCCCTACCATAGGCAAAATTCAACTCCATGGTCTTAAAAAAAAAGTGAGATGGGGGTGTATGGAATCTTATTCAGTTTCCATCTGAACAAATTTTAGGGTTTCAATAAAGTGGGACGAGGGAGTTACGTTACCCAAGACAGGAAAGATATATCTTTACCTTTCAAAGTGGAAATGTCAGCTTCTAAAGCTTTGGCTTGCTCAGCTCTTTCAAAAAGCCTATTTTGATTTTAAATGAATGCTATTCCTTGTTGCCGAATTCCCCAAATTGGTTGCTAAAAAGCTCTGAAATGATTGTCCTTAATAATTTCTAGCTAAAATGTCTGTTCTGTGACTGTAAAAACTGGAAAGCTAGGTTTTATTTTCTTTATTTATTTACTATAAATTAACAGTAAATCTTGCATTTAGCTCCATTTAAACCTCCCTCTGCAGCTGCCCATTTGAAAAATAAAATGGTTGCCTTCTTTCACTTCAGTGGGCACAATACAAAACATCCATTGAGCTTTCCCTTTATTGCAGCTGCCAATGCCCAGCCGACTTTTAACAAACCAACCAAGCGGAATCACAATGCAGCTGCAACATTTTATGGTATTTCTGTTGGTTCTCTTTTGAGACTGAAGGTGTTAATTAGGAATCAAAGAACACAACCCTGCCAGCTTTCTTTCACAAACCATACCCTGGTCACTGCAGTTTTCAGAAGAAAAATAAATCTAATAAAGGGATAAAAATGTTGTTTGTCACACCAGTAAAGTGTACTTAAGACCCTTTGATCAAAAGCTTTTTATGTAGTCTTGTCAGATGGGCTGGAAATATTGTATTTTTTCCTTTTCTCCCCCGTCTTTATGTGGACTTATCTAAATTTGAATTTAATGTAAGACTGGAATAAAAAAGTATAAGCATAGTCATGTGTGGGAATGCTTTATAGGTGATAACTGGTCTCATAGAGTAGAAAAATTTTGCTTCTTAGAAAATTTCTCATAGTCAATGTTCCATCATGTGAAACTGGGTCTTCTATCAGTATATTATAATATTCTAACCATAAATTTTTATGCTTACAATTTACAAATACATTTGTCAATACTCTATTTACTATGGTTATTTATTACATAAATCTCTCAGTGTTTTAGAGGATCTTTTTATATATACAGAATTGAGTATTTTCATAAGCATAAAAACCATATCTATATGCACATATATATACAATGTTAATTTATCAAATAGTTTGTCATTTTTGTATAATTTTTTGTGTATATTGAGTATCATACATCCAAACAACAGCGTGCAGTCATTACCTTTAATCTTTAGTCAAAGTTAAAAGCTTAAAGTAAGTTTATGAAGTTAGCACTACTGGGAATTAGTCAAGCCTGCTAGCTTTCTCAGCACGAGGTTTTGCTGCTAGGTGCACAAATCATGCCAAAATCCATTAATCCTGCTAGAGAGAGGCAGAAAGAAGGTCTGCTTGTTGATTTAATGTTAATGAAATGAATGGGCTCCTGAGGCTACCTACAGAGGCTCTGTAAACTGTAAAACAAATAAAGTCATTTTAAATAATGCTCAAGGCAGGAGAGTAAACAATGTTTCCAGATTTGTTGCCCAAAATGGGAGTGGGTGTGGGTGTGTGGAAACCTCCCATTTTCTACAATCCTGCTACACCTGCCCTATTGCAATACACACAATGTCAAGCTGGTAGACTCCTAGAATGACTGAATTAGGAGAGACTTCAGAACATGTATTTACCTCTCTTATTTTACAGATACAAAAATTGAGGCAGGGAGGATATGCATCTTGCCAGAGATTCTGTGGCTGATTAGTGGGGTAGCTGGGCCCAGATCAGTGGTTCTCAAACTCGGTCGCATATTGAATTTGCCTTGGGGAGTTTAAATACATTCTGATGCCTAGCTCCTTCCCTCAGAAATTGTGATTTAGTTGGTTTGATGTGGGATCTGGACTTTAAGATAGTTAAATTAGCTCCCAGTTGGAACTAATGTGTTGGCAAGTTTAAGAACTACAGACCTGGACTTCTAATCTAGTGTACTAGTCTCCTGCATTTTTTTGGTTTTGTTTTTTGTTTGCTTTTTTTCCCCTGCACCGTAGTGATAATCATTTCCCAGTTCCCAGGAGTATTCCGGTTGCTTTATCCTATAGGTTAGGTATATATTTTGAGATTTTGAGGGTATTTCCACAATGAGTGTTTTTTTTTTCTTGTTCTTTTGTGTATATGCAGAGATGTGGCCGTGGGGTTTGTGTGTGTGTGTGTGTGTGTGTGTTTGTGTCTATGCACGTGTGTGTGTGCCTTGTGGATCTCGAAGGATTGTACTCTACCCATGGGGTGAGCCAGCTCCACAGTGGAGCCAGTAACCAAGCTCTGTGCTATGCTTGGCAGGTAGTCCTCTTGACTTACTCTTCTCCCTGACTTGAACTTCACCTCTCCTTTGAGTTCCTTTGGGTATTGTTTTATTTCTTTCTAATTTGCCACAGTCTCATCTCCTCTGGGCTGCCACTTTCCTCCTACCATCTCCTCTCCACTTGAAGGATTTCCCTTTGTCTGAGAGAGATCCTCTGACTCTTCATTGGAAATTATTCGACTTTTGCTGCCTTCTGCTTCCCTTGGTTTGGTGATTATTTACACTGTTTGATAAAGGTGGGCTGACAGAGTTTACTTCTCCAATCTGTACTGCTGGATGACATGTAGTAGATGTCTGACGGTTTCTTCCATGTTGGATTTAGAGTGGTAAAATAAATCAGCTTCCTGGTTTATTAATTCAGTAGGCACTCGGGAATTCCAGAATCATCTTTTTACACGTAGTAAGATATAAGGAGATTTCCCTTGTTTTTTCCAGACCTGCTCTCTTGATTTCATCAGTTATGGGAAAAGCCAGCTTGCCTCTTTTGCAGAAGGGTACAGAACATCTGCAGAGACAATAATACAGGCTCATCCAATAGGATTAAAAGACTGTCTGCTCCAAGAACTGCTCACCTAGCTCTCTTCTCCCCTGTGGATCACTGGACCTAATTCCAGAGGCTTCCTGCTTGAAACACAAGTCCAAGTGGTACTTTGACCCCCTATTTAACTTTGAATCCCCTCTCCTACACAGAGTCACATCATTGATACCTACTATTCTCAGGGAATGATATTAGCCTCATCGCCATCACTGACTGAAAGATCCTTCCTGCAATTATGTTGAACCAACTGCTTCTTATCAAAGATGAGTACTGAGGTGCCTCATGAAAATTAGATTATTTTGGATGTATTTTCAGGTAGACACAAGCCCATTCTTTAAATCAGTTTTTGTTCTTAAAGTAGAACTATTTTTTCAGTTAATATAAAAAAAAAAAAGAAACACATTTTTGTTGTGTTGAAATCTTGGGTTTTCCTGAATGTATTTTTGGCTCTGAAGGAAGGTTGAATTCCCGACCTTCTCTCAGTCCCCTGAAATCCATCATCTCTTGCCTGCCACTGTAGCAAATCAACGGCTGATACTGGTGCTTCTAAGAGCACAAGAAGCTATCAACCTGAATTTTTCTTTCACAGTCAGAAAAAGTCATGAGGGTGGATGAGATTAAAAAAAAAAAAAAAAAGGAAAGGATAAAAGCAATTCAAACCCAGGACTACAAATTCTGGGTCATTCATTAAATTCTATCTGAGGAGTAGACTCCTAACATTGTGCCATCAGCCTACTCTCTGTGACAAAGTGTTCACTCAGCCCTCAGCTATCCTGGAGATTTGTGCAGTGTCTTCAAAATGCTACATACTCATGTGCAAATATGAAACCTCATTTAAAACTCATAATCTTTTGTCTATTTGATACCAAGGATCAGAAACAAAAGTTAGAATATTTTTATTTATAACAGTTGTTGGGTGATGCCAAATTCATTTGAAGATGCCCCTTCTTTCTCCTCTAGTTCTTTACCTAGTAGGTGCCTTTCTGCTGTTCTTTTCGTTCTTTTCTTGTTTTTAACATTAAGAAATCTTGTTTAATGAAAATTACACTTATACTTTTAAACATTCAGGGCAATTAATTTAGCTAATTTAGGGAATAACAGTAACAGACAACATGGCATACTTGAAAAGCATGAGTTTAGTGTGATAATAACTGCACCATCATCAACAGAAATAATTACACCTAACATTTAATGCATCCTACACAAGTAAGGTGCCATGCAAAGTGCTTTATGTGCATTATCTCACCAGTCTTCACAACAACTTAGTCAGGTAGATGTCATTATTATTGCCATCTTACATATGAGAAAACTGAGGCATTGAGTAACTTGTCAAGGTCACTGAAGATAAGGCTGAAATAGTCATCAAGAAATGTTCTCATTTCTAACATCAAGAGATGTTCTCATGTTGATAGTAACAACTATTTTACTGTTTGTTAGGAGGGTCAAATGAGGAACTACGTGTAAAAGCATCAACAGCACTTTTTGAATTTTTTTCCTTCTGTCTTGGGATATTCCAAACAATCAGTCTGCCAAATTTAGAGGAAAGAATCTCTCTGTCATCACATTATAAGATTATATCAGAAATTATATCAAGTAGTCTCACTCCGTTGCACATTTTGTAGCTAGAAAATGGCATCTTATGTCTTAGGTATGTGGACAAAGTTTGAGTTTTACGTAGAGTTTAGGGGAACAGAAGAGTGCCCTCCAGAGAGAAAACTGTGCTGACTGTCCTTCAAGTCTGCCTGGGCTATGTGCCCTTTTGAAGTTGCCCAGATGCAGACATGCATGGACACAGGGTGTTTTAAAATGTAGGTGTTAATATTATTCAGGTGTGATGAGGCCAACAGATCAGGAGGTGACTGCCATTAAACAGGGAGTTTGTTACTCACAGTTCCCAAGAGGAGAGGGCCCACCATTCCATGCAGAGCCACACAGGAAAGCTCTGGGCTCAGTCTGGAGACAGAAGGAGCAGAAGAAAAGCATGGGCAAGGTCCTTTATTGTGGTTTCCACGGGAAGGAATGGACAAGGCAGGGTAAGCAGGTTTAGGATTGGCTAGTTGAATAGTTTCAGTGTGCTGTGGGATGTAGGGGCTATCCCAATTTATTGAAATCTGAGCTTGGGGTGAGTAGAACAGGAGAATATTGACCTAGAGTCAAGAGCCCTGAAAGAGCCTGGGAAAGGGAGTGGTTGTGGGGTTGTGGGTTTTGGATTGGTTGGTTTGCATATGAAAGGTGCACTCCCAAGAAAATCATTTGCTATCTCCAGGAATTCCCTAGCCCTAGGAGGGGCAGTCTCTCTAGGAGCAGCAAGGCTCCAAGATGTCAAAGCACCATAAAATAGAGAAAATGAAAAACATGGTCAATATACAAGAATTCTGTGTTCTGATCCAATTTTCAAGGGGTATATAGTCCAGTAGTAGAAACGGACAAGTAGATGAAATATGGTGATCAAGTGTGGTGAGCACTATGATCAAAGTGGGTTCAGCATGATGTGGGAGCATCAAAGACAGGTTTCTAAAATGTGGGGTTACAGAAAGCTTCCCAGAGGAGGTGACATTTGAGCTGAGTATGGAAAGACTCATAGAGGTTAGCAAAAGAAGAAAGGCAATCCCAGCAGATGGCAACACATGTGAACACCTGGAGGCATGAAATAGGGAAATTGTAAGATGCAGTTTGAAATGGCTGGAGAGAAGAGAGCTTGGGGTGTTAAATTCAGACTAAAGCTATCTCTACATATTCTAAGTTTGGCCTAAAAGTTCCTCCATACATTGTAAGCTGCAACCTAACTGGATGTGAAAAGAGACTGTAACCTCCTCTTGTCCCAAGCATCGAGTTTTGTCCAATCAAAGATGGCTAACTATTCAAACTCTGTTCAAATAAGGCAAACATCAAGCTGTAATCAACCCATCTGATCTGCACCCCACTTCCATTCACTGTTCTTCACTTTCCCTCTTCTGTCCATAAATCTTCAAACCACATGGCATTGCCAGAATCTCTCTGAACCTATTCTGGTTTGGGGGCTGCCCAATTTGTTCTTTGCTCAATTAAACTCTGTTAAGTTTAATTTGCCTAAGGTTTTTCTTTTAACAGGGAGCTAGGGAGGGGGGATTGGCAGCAGGGGTTGCAGGTTAGGGATGAGGTAAAAAAAGTTGGCTTTGTGGGCTAAACTGAGGTGTTCAAAGTTATTATGAAATCACAGGACACCATTGAAGGATTGAATATAGGTAAGACATGACCAGAGGTGCATCTTGAAGAGAGTAGCAGGATAGTAGGGAGTGTGTGCGTATGTGTTCGAGGTCTACGTAGACCATGACAGGAAACTGCTACAGTCATCCAGGAAAAAAGTGAGTAGACCCTGGACTAGTGCAATGTCACTGCTAGAAGAGAAAGAGAACAGTTAGAAGAGACATTAAGGCAACCAAAATGTGATCAAATAAAGTCATAAATGAAATTTTAATTACAATAATCACATATTTAACTACTATGAACAGAGGCTGGGCCTGGTGGCTACTGCCTATAATCCCAGCACTTTGGAAGGCTGAGGTGGATAATTACTTGAGGCCAGGAGTTCGAGACCAGCCTGGGCAACATAGCCATACTCCCATTTTTACCAAAAAAAGAAAAAAGAAGTAAATGACAACTATGAACAGACATTTGGGGAATTAATTATGCTTAATTATTCTTCAAACTAAATCTGAGTGTTCCTTTTTGCTCTGCAGATTTTTAGGTAATACAGAGACACTGTGTCTGTATTTACAGTGGATCAAAATAAGATGATATTGTTAAAATTCAGGTATATATCTAGATATGGACATACACAACATGTGTAAACAACGGGCTATTTGGCAACATCTGGAAAAGTAACTGGGAGTTTTTGAGTTCATTCGAGTATTTGACATTGAAATATAAAGGTGACCAAGAAGTAGTACTGGGCTGGGGTTTTCAGGAGATCTGGAGTCCAATTCTGTCTTTGCTAGCTGCGTGATTTTCAGAATGTCATTAACCCCTTATGAATATAAAATTTCATCATCTATGAAATAAAGACGTTGGATTAGGTAAATTCCAAGGTTCTTCCCATTCTAAATTCCCTGGGTAGCCATAGCTTTTGATGCACTGAAATCCTTTGTAACCCATCTAAGTGATTTTAATTCTGTTTATTTGGGCAATTAGGGTAATGCTCTAGCAATCACGATTAAATTTCAGTCTTGCATTGTGTAATGTGACCTTAGATATACAGCTTAGTCATTCTGGTAATTTGTGGATAAAAGATTGTCCTTTTAGTTCTTCACAGAACTTACTCTAAATGTAGTTAGGTATTAGCTCAAGCTCTAAATTAAGTTTATTATAATTAACATAAATCTCCCCAAATTTGCTTTCCTTTGTAATATACAACTAATTATATTCTGAAATGTTCATACAGCTAAGGCAAAGAGGGCTTCAAATTACTATGTAGTAGTCATTCAGGACCAGAACATATCTACCTAACACTTATGACTATCAGACTCTAGGGAAGTAGATGTTTTCCTGGAAGGCCAGCAGCTGGGAGGTGGAAGGTGGACACTTGCTGTCAGTTAATCATGCCGCTAGACCTTTTAAGATCTTCAAATGAGATATGCTCACATCCTGGGAGAATCTGGTTTAACTAGGATTTCCTTTTGCTACCCAAGCTTGAAGACTCAATAAAAAAAGATCTTGAACTTCCTCCTGTACTATATTGCACTGAGTCCCAGAGAACAACAGCTGCTGAAGAACAGGGGCTGCGCATGAGTTAAGATCTTCCACCACAGGAACAGTAATGTAGCTTTTCCAAATTAAAATCAGAGACCCCAATTTTGGTGACTGGAGTTGATACTTAAATCCCAAGGACTCTTTTTTCTAAACTTCCCTTCATCTTCTAGTTTGACGCCCTTGGTGGGAAAAGTGTCTGAGATAAGGAAAAGGCATCCTTTCAGTTCTCTGATACTATCTTGAAGCGAGGGATGGAGAAAGGCAAAGAGAGACACAGGAGAAGCGTATCCCCTGGGAACAGGTGTCTAGTGGAGTCCAGTAACTCACAGTCTCTCAGTTCCGTCAGCACTGTCCCTTGGGTCGCAAATTTCTTCCATTAGCCCTTCCACCTCTCTTGCCATTCTTTTTCTAGGCTTTTCTCTATTGTACAGTTAACACTGTAACAATGATAGAGTAGGCCTATTGCCAAATGCAGGCATGTCTGCTAAGGGTCCCTTCAGGACAGGAAGTACAAAGACAAAATAAAGAGGAAGATCCTTTATTCTCAGTCTTTACTAGAAGACTCCAAATTCACTTTGTAGATTCACTCAACAAATACTGTGAAATAAATGTTTATTGTGAAAACTTCAATATATATACAAAATAGTTCATTAAGGAATATAACATCTTCTATGGAAATTTTTATTTGGTTTTCATAATCACATAATAACAACCATATATGTAAAAAACTGAAAGGTTGTATTTTGTGCGGATAGATTTAAAGACCAATTGATTATGTAACAGAGTTCCTTCAAGTAAGTGCCTCACGAGAAAATTTATAACCTAAAACCTTCAAGCACCATGTGGTGTTTTGTGCATCGAACCAATAAACTCATTAAAATAACATTGCATCAACCCAAACACAACACATTGGAAGTTCTAACACAGCCCACATTAACCAACCAACTTTAAAATAATATCCTTGTTATGTACTAAGGTTAAAAATTCAGCAAATTCTTTATATTTTTTCCACTTGAGATCATGTGTGGTTTTCTACTTTCCTGAGAAGTACACTTTTGTGGCTTTTTTGATTAAAGAAAGGTTATTTTTACAAATCGACATCTTTTGTAGAGGTCTCTGCTCCACTTAATCAAGGTTTCAAGAAAAAAGGAGAACAAAAGTATTTACCAGTGTTTCAGTGAAACTTAAAAATTCTAAGGTTATTTTCTCAGTGTAGGCTTTGAAAAGAAGGCACGCATGTAAGGTTAGTCACCACAGTTTGTGTGTGTGTGTGTGTGTGTGTGTGTGTTTGTGTGTGTGTGAGGGAGACGAGGAGGAAGGGGGAAATAAAGGAATTTGGCTGCAAACTGAGGAACAGTTTGAAACACTTGGCTTCTAGTTGTGAAAGATGAGCAACACGGAAAAAAGGACAGGCTAACAAGGGACCACTTGAGGAAAGCTTAATTTCGCCTGGCAGGCTGAGGAGGGAGGTCAGCTCCATGCACGCGTTCTCAGCTGGAGTTGGGCTCCCTTTGCCAGGACGATTGTCTTCTGCATTTCAGTTTCTGAACCGAACTGAAGGTGCCTTCAAGCAGCCAGTTCCACAGTCTCTCCCTTGTAAAGGGTCGGCCCTTCACGGCTATGCCCTGCCAATGTTTGTATCATTTCTGCCAAGCAAGTGGCACAAAGGGAATTGTTTCTTGTTGGTGTGTGTATTAGTGTGCACGAGACACTTTCTTCCCCCTTGGCCATCACAGTCCTTGTTTGAAGAAGAAGCAAACACTCCTTCTGAAGGCAAGAAGGATAAAATGAGTGTGTGGAAAATGTGCATATAGAAAAAATAGGACATTTGAAAATTAGAGATTGTTGAATAAATTGTTAAGTCAGTAAAAAGCTGGAGTATGAGAGTACTATTTTAAAACATTCTAGAGACTGTACCCCAAACATATCCTAATTTTTCTAAACATCAGTACTGTTTTTTCTGTTGACTTTGTAATACAATAAATGATTAATGTATATCAGGTTAATAAGCTGAATCAAGGGACTGAGGAAATTAAATGCATAGTTCAGAAAAGGTTTTTCATTATTTGAAGGAGGGGACTTTTCTATGACTTATGCAGATTTCTAATTGACACATAAGTCTGTATCACTAATTGTCAAAGCATGCAAAGTTTAAAAATATGTTGGGGGATTTGATAAAACTTTGAAACAATTTTCTATTGTGAATCAAATGAATAACATTCTGATACCTTCGTGACAACAATGTATCGCATCTCATCCATTTTAAAGGTGAATACAAGCTCAAATAGAATTTGCCTGTTAAGAAAGTTCATGTCTGTCTGAACTGAGAAATAGTTCCAAAGAATGCAGCTACTTAATTTGACACATAGATCTGGTTATAGGAAAAAAGTTTTATTCTTGCCTAGGTGGTTACTAATCTATTGATCCCTCTTCACAATACTCTGGCAGCTACTGCAACTTATCTCTGATTTGAAGACAAGAAAAATTGTTTCTGTGGTAGTAAGAAAATGGATATATAAAAAGATGTCTACTAAATTTGTAATATTGGCCCTAAACTATATAATGTAATGCTCACATTATTGGAAAATTGAAAACTGCATTTTGCTCTGGAATTCCCTGAAAAAATATTTCTGGTATTAGGGCTTCATAAATTGTGTTCCTGAAAAGAAAAATGGGCCAAAACATTTCAGCACCAATTAAAATGATTACAAGGCATAAGTATAAATTGGAAAGCCTGTTTTCTTGGGTTGCTGTAAACTGGCCCTGAAGATAACTTCAAAGGAAATCCAAAAATATTTTGAGCAATGGAAATACTTGAAATAAGCTTACAGTAAGCTTACCTAATAAGAGGTACTATTATCATTCCTAACGTCACAAGTTGCCCCACCACAAGGGGGGTATTGACTGAGTAAAGTATTTAGTATCTTTGTGGGGCCTATGACTGAGTGAAGTATTTAGTGCCGAACACTTAGGAAACACAATACAACTATCAGTTATTATGACTATTGCTATTACAATAATAAAGTAATTTATACATGTAAATCATGGCATGTGTTAAAATAAACAACTCATTGCATCATTTAAACTGAACACAATTCAGCTGTATTTCAAATGGGGCTGGACAATAATTGTGGCCAGTGGCCTTGTGTTGTTTGTACTTGCGGACTAGTAGTTCTCACCTGTCTTTCTCTGACTCCTATTAGCCACTGGGATTTCAGCAGCTGGTTCAGCCAATTCTACTCAATTCAACATTACTGGTATTTACTGAACTCCCTTAAGAGCCAGGCATTGGTATGGGCACTTGGGGTATAAAGTGGAAAATGCCCTACCCTGGAGGAGCTCACAGCCAAAGAAGAAGAATAAGCCCTGAAGGAAAGAGCCCACCATGAAACCCTAGGGTGTTATTCCATCTGACTTTCAGGAAGTTGTTTACACGGTCAGGAGTTGGTTCCTTTGCATACTCTCCAAGTAAATCTCAGCGTCTCCAATTCCAGACTTAAACATTAAAAAGAGAAGTAATACATGAGGATATACGGAAGCACTTCTGCTTATGAAACATCTTTTGAATAGTTTTCCACTAATGCTAACATCCTGTTAAGAGCCTTTTAGCATTACCACTAGATACATTATTCCATTTCTTGAAATCAAATGACTAACGTTTTTCTCCGTTCCAGTTTCAAGCCAGGCATTCCCATTGGGCTTAATCCATTAAACAGAAAAATGCCACAGATTTTAGGAACGGACCTGCTTCCCACCATATAACTTATGGATAACAAAATCAGTTTTGAATTATGAGAATTTAATTAAAAATTCCACATTATAGACTATGAAATGTCTCCTTTTGGCATAGAGTTCCATAGGTGAAATTGGGCATGTAGTTGGTTATTTACAATGGTTAAATTAAAGTGTGGATTAAAGCTGACAGATCTGGGAATGAAAGAGTTGCAGTGGGCTAGAACTCATGGGCCGATTTAACAAGTGAAATTCTACCAAGATACATCAAAAATAGCAACAGGACTAGATACTCAGCTCATTTTGTTTTATTTGTAATATACCAGTTGTGGCTTTAGTGCCAGTCTGATTCATCTCTCTACTACAAAATGAGGCTCTATAAAGGAAAATATTGCAACTGGAGTGAGGAATTTGAATCTTATAGGAAGGAATTTGTCTTCTCATGAAGACTTCAGTTTACCAGAAGTATCTATTGAGGAAGTGTTTACAAGAAAATGTGCCATTTAGCTTTATTCTAAATTTGCATAATAACTGAACCAAACAAAAACATTACTTCACAAAATTGCTCATTGGACAACCCACTACTGTTTTTCATTTCTGTCTTATGGCCTGTGATTTAGATCATTCAGAAACATACTTAAATTTGTAGCTAAAATGACTTAAATCCATGAATTTGATAGAAGAAATATAAAAAAATGCTTTGCTAAGGTAAGTCAAAATTAAGTATCAGTTATAAAATTATAAATATTCTATAATGTCTTTAATTTTGATAGCTTTATTGGGTTAATTGTTTGGTCTGAAATTTCTATGCCTTTGATAGATATATATTTTGAAAACTGAAAACAATAAAATAGTTCAGATAAAATACTTAACTCTCAGAAATCATAGACCAGTTTTGTGTTTCTAAACTTCTTTAAACACACCCAAGTGTGACTGGTCTATTATCAAAACATGATGTTGTTTAACTACACAGGCTATTTCTTGATTCCGATCTTCTAACTCATTTATGATTGCTACCTTTTGTTGCTACATCAGAACTCCTTTACTTTGAGGAAAATGCATAAGGAAGAAAGAAAAAAACTGAAGATCATGTTTATTATATGTAAAAATTCATTCTTGTCACACCAACTCTGCCATGCATATGTTAAATATATTCAGTAAATATTTATTTTAAATTTATGCCACAAAATTGTTTGAATGAGCTCACTACTTTAAAAAATTACTTAGACTAATTATCAGTTAGTTTTAATAATTCACCCTATAACAAAAACACTATGGAAAAAATCCCCAGGAATCCTGGAGAAAAAGAAAGAACTTCATTAAAATGAAGAAAATTTACTGGCATCATTATATTTTAAACAATTCTAAAAGTACATTTTAGAGCAAACTGTATAATGTTTGTAATTGATCTAAATGTTAAGGCTGTTATAAGAGTTACTATTTTTGTAATCATTTCTAAAGTACATTTTCTTTTATTTAAGATAAGAGAAGCAGAACTATATTAACTCATTTTCAAAGAAGATCCTAAAAAGGATCTTTCATCTTGAAACTGCATCTTAAACACTTAAAACACATTTATGATATTAAGGCGGTGCCTGATTTAACTAATTGTGGCTTTTGTTCCATTCTTATTAACATTAGTTTTAGGAGTTATGTGTAAAATTAAATTTTGTTTCAAAGTTACATATGAAAAAGTAACCAAACTACATATAATTAAAAAAAAAAATCTTTTCTCTTGGTCCCTTTGGTTTATATAACATACATTTGCTTGTGGATGAAATGTGAATGCCTTTAAGGAACAGCAAAGAAAAATTCAGTTTTCTTTTTAAAATAAAATAGCTGTTCTGGACCAATAAAGAAAAGTATATTTATTATATTAGGATCTTCATTAGGATTCAGTTTTCTATCTGAATGTCACACTAACTAGACAGACACATCAAAGTAGCAGAGAGGAGTTTACTTTTAAGACCCTATTAATAAAAATGTCCACATTTGATGCATTAAAATAACTTACCTATACTAAGATTAGATGTTAGAACTACTTTATTTAGGACAGATCACAACTGGTATTAAATGTTGTAAACCATTATTGTCTGCTTTTATATCTCAACCTTGGTGCGTTCCTTATTTTCTGCTAAGTAAACTTTATTAGCCCCTGTTAGTAAAATCAGAGCCCATAACCACTTGCTGGGGCAGCAGGGGGAGAGAAGAGATGAAGACTGAGATTTTTCCAGCGTTTTCACTCGGTTTATTGGTCCAGTTAAAGACCTACTGTGGAAGGCAGCTCAGTAAGAAAAGAGAATCAATATTAATATTTGCACTGGCTTAAAATTTTGCTTTTCTGGGAAAAAAAGATTACAAAATGGCACATAAATAGTGTTTGCATTCTGTGAAGAGATGTAGGAAACTTTCTTTACCTACAAGTCTGACTAGCCAGCTCTCAGATTGTGGTAAATGTGTACAGCTACTTGCCAAATGTGTACAGCTGGAACTTGCCATCATCAATCTGTTTGAAGAAAAGGAAATGCTTGTTCTTTTTTTGAAGGGGATTGGGTGATAACATTTTGACTAAATAAATGATGATAACCTCTTACAAATAATAAAAGATAGTAGTTCTGGCTTTTTACCACATCAGTCTTGGTACACTGCAACTTTTTCATCAAGGCTTAATTTCTACTGGGCCCCAGTGGAGTGGAGCTATAACTTTGTGTTCCCTTTCAACATCAAAGGGAAGTTATTCCTTCAAATAAGAAAATCAGTAGAACACATACTCATTTATTTGAATATGAATAAATCAAAATTCCTCTTTTATGTTTTGGCTGCACAAGTGAAGACAGAAATGGTCAGAGAATACTAGGTGTAACCAAAAGAGGGCATCATCTACCCTTAATGTCTGCACAGCGTTCCTCTGGTTGTAAGAAACCAACAAAGCCCCCAAACCCTCAATACCTGCTCAAAGGGCATCCCATGGGCCCTGGCATTTTTTAGTATATAGGGACACCAAATTATGAAATCACACATTATAAAGAACACCACATTGCTTATTTACTTCAGGACTGACTTCTATATTCAGCACTCATATTCCCTGAACTGTGTTGCATTAGAAATAAGTATTTAACATTTACTGTATCACTTTTTACAGATACTCTGAGTTTAATATTTCACAGGGCACTGGGAAAATGTCTTCTTAGGCCAGGGTACAGGCTGTCATCACATGAGAATAATATGGCACTTAATTTCCTAATAGTATCTTAACTTCAAGAGGTTATCTATAATATAGATAGATAGATTGTTCTATCTATAGATAGATAGGGAACATTGGCAGTAGGTGGCAGTAAGTTCCCCTGAGCACATGGAGGACACAGTTAAATGCATTTGAGGTATGTGGGAAATGGTTTAAAGCAGAATTTTATGCCAACTTTTAGTAACGGAAGCCTAACAAATGTTTGTTCTTTCAAGTGAGAGAAGCAAGCAATCTGGAACTATTCATAAGCTTATTTTCTGTATCCTTAAACATATTTTATAATGAATGTATGATTTAAATAGTAAGTTAAGTGTCTGGGGGTACTGCACACCTCCCTTGCATACAGTCAAACTTCTTCAGGGTGATGGGGAAGAGGAGTTATAGGCTGCCAAGCAAAATTGCCAAACTGGTCTCAGAAATTCACTGCATTGGAGAGCGCGGGATCCTTGCAACACTGACTTTAGCAGTTAAACTAGAGTGGTTGGGGATGAGTATTCTGCTTTGTAGTAGAGATAGCTGTTCAGGAGGAGGAAATGTGAATTCTGAGAGCGTGATCATTTAGGAGAGATTTCCATTCCTGGAACGATATCACTACCACATGCACGAGTGCAATTGAAGGGAAACCTGGTGGGGAAACAGTTTTAACATTCTTTCAGGTAAAAAAGAAAAAGCAGTCAAAATAGCTTTATGGTAGAGGAGGAGGCGACCTGCCATCTACCAATCCTAAAATCTAGCAGAATGGTACCTTTCTTTAAAGACAATATTAAAGCAAGTAAAAGATGTTTTTTTCTTCCTCACTCTGTCTCCAGAAAAAGAATCACTACCTAGTGGAAAATGTTGTGCAAGCCTCTTCATGTTTCTTCCCTCCAGAAAACAACTAAACAGATGGAAGAACTGGTTCACAAACATCCCAACTCTCTCCTGCCAAGGTACATCAGAGAAGCCGAAAACTGGGACTGCATGGGCTTGGGGTGGGCTCGCTGCAATGTCTTGATCTAAAACCTAAATGTTTCACCTTGTGGTAAGGAGCACCTGTTTCCCAGAGTGGCCTAGAACCTGGCCTCTCTGCTGGAAGGAATGAAGCCCCAGATGCTTTGCACGGGGGTGGAGAGAGTAGTCGCCTTGGTCTCCGAGAATAGGGTTCCTCCTGGGTCACCGCGTTCACCCAACTACCTGTTACCTTCGGGCCTGGGTTTTCCACAGAAAAAATTACGCAATGAGCCGCCGCCTCAGGGCTTTGGAAGTTGCAGTGGGGAGAGAAGGGGTGGGAGAATCCCCCAGGGATGATAGAGAGCTTCAGGTCTCCCTTTGGGTGTCGGTGCCGCTGTTTACCAGCCCAACAGCCTTCAGCCCACTTCCCCTTTCCTCCCCGGGGGAAGAGATGGTTAAAGATTACACAGCGGCCGCGGGCACTTCAAAGGGCGGCGCGGGCAGCCAAAGGTAAAGATAACGTTCTGGCAGCTCTAATCGGGGTTTGTGGTTGCCACATTTTAATCACGCCGTTAAAAAAGAAAGAAAATAAAAAGAAAGGAGGGAGGGAAGGAAGGAAGAAGGGAGGAAGGAAGGGAGGAAAAGAGGAAAAAACCCCAAAAAGGTTACATCACGTCACAGTGCAAGGGATGCAGACTAAAAACCCTTTGGAGCTGGGCAAGTTGTTTCTCCTTTGGGGAAACTTTCTACAGACCATCTTTTCGTGGAATGCGACTAGACGCAGAGAGGCGGTTGGGGCGGGGACCAGATGGCAGCCTGCCTTTGGGTACCAGGCTCTGGGTCACAAATGTCCACTCCGCACGCAAATGCCTGCATTTGCAGGAATTCGCCCTGCGATGTTTCTAGCGCTGGACTGGGAAGCTGCGGCGCAGCAGCGCTTTCCCGGGTTGCACTCGAAGCCATTTCTCTGCGGGTCCAGAAAGTGCCGGCACGCTACTCCCCGAGACACGTGCATTTCTCTGGGGGCCCTAACAGGCCTGGCCAGGATGCCCTTGACAAACTCGCCCCCCTCCCCCACGAGCAGGCGGGCGCCGAGGAGCCTCCAGCCTCGCCTTGGACGAACCTTCCTTCCCCTCTTAGTCTCTCTCCCGGAGTGACGTGGGGAAGTACTTACAGGTAGGAGGTGAAGACGCTGAGGTTGGAAGGCAGCTCCGAGAGCCCCAGGTCGGAGCAGTCCACCCTGAGCAACATCCTGCCGTCGGGCTCGCAATGACAGTGTGTGGGGCAGCCCCTCAGCAACACACCAGACCTGGGAGAGCTGCCCCCGGTCGCCAGCTGCAGCAGCACAGGCAAGGACAGGAGCACACCGAGCCGGGAGGTGTCCATGGTGCCCGAAGTAGGGGGCCACGAGCCGGACGCGGGCGGAGAGCAGCACCGGACTGCTACGGGCCGTGGCGCGCCGGGCGCCGCTCCGTGGGCTTCTGCAACTCAGCGGGCGTCTGCAGCGCCAGACGCCGCGTTCCTGACCCCACGGCGTGGGCGGCGAGGAGAAGCGCGGCGGGGACAGAGGTGCCGGTTGCCGCCACGCCGGCCTTCGGAGCAGCCCTGGCTGCAGCGGCGACAGTGGCGGTGCGCCTTGCTGCTGCTCGCGGCCTGAGCGGTGTGGAGCAGCATCTCTGCTTGCACGCTCGTTTTTTAAAGCGCTCCAGCCCGAATTGCGCGCCCAGTGACGTCAGCGCAGCCTGGCTTCCCAGGCACCCCCCGCCCGGCCCCACTTTCCCTCCACTTGTCCCCTCCCTCCTTTCCCAAGTCCTGGGCTGGGAGGCAGCAGGCAGCAGGCAGCGCGCGGTACTGGCGAGTTCTCGGCGCTCCCACTGAGCCTCCGCCTGGAAGATTCAGTGCTCAACGCCGCGCGCCGGAATAGGGGACCCCCCCACCCTTACCCCTTCATGCGTGCTGGAGACCCAGATCTAAGAGTCGAGAGGGACCTGCTTCGGAGAGACCTAAACAGACGCACAAGGACTGGAGGATGCGGCACGTTTCCTCCGAGCCCGCTTCAAATAATGGATGAGATACTTGAAGTGATTAAACAGAATAAAACAAAACAAAAACACAAAAACTAAAATCCTATGCAGAGAAATAGTTACGTTATCAGGGTAAGGAGGCAGGCGTCCCCGGCGAATGATAGGTGGCCTTTTTGATCCTTACGTCTGCCGCACTGTCTGGCTCGCTTTTGCCCTAAAATCAAAGCTCTAGGCTAATCGCTAAACAAATACAGCTCCTGAGCGAGCACTCCACTGCTGCCTTCCTATCTCTTGCGGGGTGAGGAAGTCGAAGTGACTCATTTGTTTTTTAAAAGTGGTTTAGAATACCCTAGAAGTCACTTTTAGTAAATCGATGCCAGAGTGACAGATGGCTGTTTGCTAACTTCCAGGGACTTTTCATCTTAAGTGTCCCAGCGCTCTCTGAACTGAGAGCAGTCCCACCTATGTGAGTGACACTGGGCTCTGAGAACCGCTGCAGAGCGCCAGGGGGAAAATGCATGCTCTTGCTTCAAAAAGTGTCCTATAGTGAATCTGCAGGAAAAAGGAGGAAAAGGATTCAGGGCTTTCTTGGAGAGAAGCCCTCGTTGAGGTACAAATAGCCCTCGCCAGACCTGAGTGAGCTGCTGAAAGAGGTGGTATTCCAAGCCTGCCACACCAACTCACAAAAATGCAGTTTTCACTCTGGGGCACAATGCCTCACAGCATCATGAAGGCAGGATACCCTGTTGATTTTCCAAGTCCTTTTTAATCTTCCTGCATTTAGACTGCCCAACAAAATTTCCCAAATAAACGTCTAAATTTTAGAGTTGGGAAGAGCTGTTTCTCTGTGCAGTGTATGTGCCTTCCTTCATGTCCAAACCTCGCTGTTTGTTCACCTAAAATATATAATTTCTTGACCACAATCTGTAGTCTGAACATCTTCCTTTCTTGGGTGAAAAAACAAACAACAAACAAAGCACTTGACAGTGCTAGTGCCACTGAAAATTGTGAGTTAACTCCGGTTTCCGCACAATCAGTACAGAGAGCCCGCGTCTCTGGACACCCTTTTCCTTCACTTTTCCCTATGTATACCACATTCACTGCTACTCTGTGCTTATTCTCACATTATTCTTGCTTCCCTTAGCCATTCTTTCCACATTTAAAGAATGCCTACCTTGTGTCTTTCTTCCTTTTTTTAAACATTTTAAAAAAAATTTCAATGGCTTTTGGGGGTACAAGTGGGTTTTGGTTATATGGATGAATTATACAGCGGTGAATTTTGAGATTTTAGTGCACTCATCACCCAAGTAGTGTATGTTGTACCCAATATGTAGTTTTTAATCCCACACCCTTCTCCTACCCTCCCTTTTTGGGATCTCCAAAATCCGTTTTAACACTCTGTATGCTTATGCATATTCATAGCTTAGCTCCCACTTATATGTGGGAAAATATGGTATTTGGTTTTCCATTCCTGAGTTACTTCACTTAGAATAATGGCCTTCAGCTCCCTTCAAGTTGCTACAAAAGACTTTATTTTATTCCTTTTTATGGCTGAGTACTCTTCCATGCTGTATGTATACCACATTTTCTTTATCCACCCACTGGTTGATGGGCACTTACGTTGGTTCCACATCTTTACAATTGTGAACTGAGATGCAATAAAAATACGTGTGCATGTGTCTTCTTCATATAATAACGTCTTTTCCTTTGAATAGTGATATGGTTTGGCTCTGTGTCCCCACCCAAATCTCATGTCGAATTGTAATCCCAAGCATTGGAGGAAGGGCCTGGTGGGAGGTGATTGAATCATGGGGGTGAATTTCCCCCTTGCTGTTCTCATGATAGTGAGTTCTCATGAGATCTGGTTGTTTAAAAATGTGTTGCATTCCACCTTTGCCCTCTCTCTCCTGCTTCCTCATGTGAAGACGTGCCTGCTTCCCCTTCTTCTTCCACCATGATTGTAAGTTTCCTGAGGCCTCCCCAGCCATGCTTCCTGTACAACCTGTGGAACCATGAGCCAATTAAACCTCTTTCATTATAAATTACCCATTCTCAGGTAGTTCTTTATAGCAATGTGAGAATGGACTAATACAGAAAATTGGTACCAGGAGAGAGGCATTGCTATAAAGATATCTGAAAATGTGGAAGCAATTTTGTAACTTGGTAATGGGCAGAGGTTGGAACAGTTTGAATGGCTCAGAAGAAGACAGGAAGAAGAGGGAATGTTTGAAACTTCCCACAGACTTGTTAAATTGTTGTGATCAAAATGCTGATAGTGACATGGACACTGAAGTCCAGGCTGAGGTGGTCTCAGATGGAGATGAAGAACTTGTTGGGAATTGGAGCAAAGGTCACTTTTGTTATTCATTAGCAAAGAGGTTCTAGGCATTGTGCCCCTGCCCTAGAGATCTGTGGAACTTTGAACTTGAGAATGATGATTTAGGGTATCTGGCAGAAGAAATTTCTAAGTGGCAAAGCATTCAACATGTGACCTGAGTGCTTCTAACAGCATAAGCTTATATTTGTGAGCAAAGAGATAATCTGAAACTGAAACATATTTAAAAGGAAAACAGAGTGTAAAAGTTTGGAAAATTTGCAGCCCTGCCAAGTGGTAGAAAAGAAAAACCCATTTTCTCAGGAGTAATTCAAGCTGGGCCTAGGAAGGAAGAATGATTTTGCAGGCTGGCCCCAGGGTCTGGGTGTCCCACTTCCTTAAGCCCCACTGCCCTGACCAACCTCAAGACACTGCTCCCTGCATCCCAGCCACTGCAGTTCTAGCCATGACTAAAAGGGCCCAAATATGTCTGAGGCAGCTGCTCCAGAGGGTGTAAACCCTGACCCTTGGCAGCTTTCGCTTGGTGGTAAGCCTGTGGGTATGCAGAGGGCAAGAGTTGAGGCTTGGGAGCTTCCACCTAGATTTCAGAGGATGTATGGAAATGCCTGGATGTCCAGGCAGATGTCTGCTGCAGGGGTGGAGCCCTCATGGAGAACCTCTACTAGGGAAGTGCAGAGGGGAAATTTGGGGCTGGAGCCCCCACATAGAGTCCCCACTAGGGCACTGCTTGGTGGAGCTGTGAGAAGACGGCCACCATCCCCCAGAACCCAGAATGGTAGATCCACTCACGCCTTGCACCATGTGTCTGGAAAAGCCTCAGGCACTCAACACCAGCCCATAAAAGCAGTCACCACAGAAGCTGTTACCTTCAGAGCCTCAGGGGCAGTGCTGCCTGAGGCCTTGGGAGCCAACTCCTTGCATCAGTGTTGCCTGGATGTGAGACATGGAGTCAAAGGAAATTATTTTGGAGCTTTAAGATTTAATGACTGCCCTGCTGGGTTTTGGACTTGGATGGGGCATACACCCCTTTTGTTTTGGGAAATTTCTCCCTTTTAGAATGTGAGCATTTACCCAATGCCTGTACCCCCATTGTATCTTGGAAGTAACTAACTTGTTTTTGATTTTATAGGCTCATACACAAAAGGGTACAGGTACAGGCTCTTTTGGACTGTAGACATTTGAGTTAGTGCTGAAATGAGTTAAGACTTTGGGGAACTGTTGAGAAAGCATGATTGTGTTTTGAAATGTGAAAAGGACATGAGATTTGGGAGGGGTTAGGGATGGAATGATATGGTTTAGTTCTGTGTCCCCACCCAAATCTCTTGTTGAATTGTAATACCCATTGTTGCAGGAGGAACCTGGTGGGATGTGATTGAATCATGGAGGCCGACTTCTCCCTTACTGTTCTCATGATAGTTCTCATGAGATCTGGTGGTTTAAAAGTGTGTAACACTTCCCCATTCACCCTCTCTCTCTCCTGCTCTCCCATGTGAAGAGGTATCTGCTTCCTCTTCACCCTCCGCCATGATTATAAGTTTTCTGAGGCCTCCCCCACTATGCTTCCTGTAAAGCCTTGGAACCATGAGCCAAGTAAACCTCTTTTTTAAAAAAATAAATTACGCAGTATCAGGTAGTTCTTAATAGCAAAGAAAGAACAGACAAATATAGGTAGGTACCAAGTACTGGGATTGCTGAATTGAATGGTAGATCTACTTTTAGTTCTTTAAGAAATCTCCATACTGTTTTCCAGAGGCTGTACTAGTTTACATTCTCATCAGCAGTGTATAAGTATTCCCCTTTTACCACATCTATGCCAATGTCTATTGTTTTTTGACTTTTTAATAACGGCCATTCTTGCAGGAGTAAGGTGGTATCTCACTGTGGTTTCAACTTGCATTTTTCTGATGATTAATGATGTTTAACATTTTTTTCATGTGTTTATTGGCCATTTGTGTATCTTCTTTTGAGAAATGTCTATTCATGTCTTTAGCTCACTTTCTGATGGGATTATTATTTTTTTCTTGCTGATTTGTTTGAGTTTCTTGTAGATTCTGGATACCAGTCCTTTGTCAAATGTATAGTTGCAAATATTTTCTCCCATTCTGTGGGTTGTCTGTTTACTCTGCTGATTATTTCTTTTGCTGTGCAGAAGCTTTTTTTTTTTTTTTTTTTTTTTTTCTTGACACAGAGTCTCGCTCTGTCACCCAGGCTGGAGTGCAGTGGCATGATCTTGGCTCACTGCAAGCTCTGCTTCCTGGGTTCCTGCCATTCTCCTGCCTCAGCCTCCCGAGTAGCTGGGACTACATGTGCCCGCCACCACGCCTGGCTAATTTATTGTATTTTTAGTAGAGACGGAGTTTCACTGTGTTAGCCAGGATGGTCTCAATCTCCTGACCTTGTGATCCACCCGCCTCGGCCTCCCAAAGTGCTGAGATTACAGGCATGAGCCACCGTGCCTGGCCAAAGCTTTTTAATTTAATTAGGTCCCATTTTTTTTTTGTTTTTGTTGCATTTGCTTTTGGAGTTTTAGTCATGAATTCTTTGTCTAGGCCAATGTCCAGAAGAGTTTTTCCAAGGTTATCATCTAGAAGTTTTATGGGTTTTGGTCCTAGATTTAAGTCTTTGATCCATCTTGAGTTGATTTTTGTACAAGGTGAGAGATAGAGATCCAGTTTTATTCTTCTACATGTGGCTCGCCAGTTTTCCCAGCACCATTTGTTAATAGAGTGTCCTTTACATTTCTGTTTTTGTAAGTTTTGTTGAAGATCAGTTGGCTTTAAGTATTTGGCTTTATTTCTGTGTTCTCTATTCTTTCCCATTGAGCTAGGTGCCTACTTTTATAGCAATACCATGCTGTTTTGGTAACTACAGCACTGTAGTATAACTCGAAGTCCAGTAATGTGATGCCTCTAGATTTGTTCTTTTTGCTTAGGATTGCTTTAGCTAGTTGGGTTCATTTTTGGTTTCATGTGAATTTTAGGATTATTTTTTCTAATTCTTTGAAAAATGATGTGGTATTTTGATAGGAATTGCATTGAGTCTGTAGATTGCTGTGTGCAGTATGGTCATTTTCACAATATTGATTCTTCCAATCCATGAACATGGGTTATGTTTTCATTCATTTGTGTCATCTATGATTTCTTTCAACAGTGTTTTGTAGTTTTCCTTGTAGAGATCTTTCACCCCCTTGGTAAAGTATATTCCTAGGGATTTTGTTTTTGTTTTTGTTTGCAGCTGCTGTAAAAGAGATTGAGTTTTTGATTTGTTTATTGGCTTGGTCATTGTTGGTATATAGCAGGGCTACTGATTTGTGTATATTGATTTTGTAACCTGAGACTTTACAGAATTTGTTGATTAAATCTAGGATTATTTTAGAGGAGTCTTTAGGGTTTTCTAGGTATACCAACATATCTTCAGTGAACAGTAATAGTTTGACTTTCTCTTTTCCCATTTAGATGCCCTTGATGTCTTTCTCTTGCATTATTGCTGTGGCTAGGACTTCCAGTACTATGTTGAATAGAAGTGGTGAAAGTGGGCATCTTTGTCTTATTCCAGTTCTCAGGGGGAATGCTTTCACCATTTCCTGTTCAGTATGATGTTGCCTGTGGGTTTGTAATATATGGCTTTTATTAATTTGAAGTAAGTCCCTTCAATGCTAGTTTGTTGAAGGTTTTTTATCATAAAGGGATGCTGGGTTTTACCAAATGCTTTTTTTTTTTGCATCTATTGAGGTGATCATATGGTTTTTGTTTTTAATTCTGTTTATGTGATATATCACATTTATTGACTCCAGTATGTTAAACCAGTGATCCCCAGCCTTTCTGGGGGAAAGTGGGGGATGGGGGAATAGTTTCATGATGAAACTCTTCCACCTCATAAGGAGTGTGCAACTTAGATCTCTTGCCATGCACGGTTCACAATATGATTCACGCTCCTATGAAAATCTAATGCCGCTGCTGACCTGACAGGAGATGGAGCTCAGTGGTAATGCTTACTTGCCCACCACACACCTCCTGCTGTGTGACTCATTTCCTAAGAGACCGTGGACCAGTACCAGGGCATGGCCCAGTAGTTCATACTGCATCCCTGGTATGAAACCCACTTGATCATGGTGTGTTTTATTTTTGATGTGCCGTTGAATTTGGTTAGTTAGTATTTTGTTGAGGATTTTTTGCATGTTTGTTCATCAGGGATATTGGTCTGTAATTTTCTTTTTTGTTATGTCCTTTCCTGGTTATCTATTTCTCTAAGTGTGTTTTTTACTTCCAGCAGTTGGGATTGTTTTTTCTTTATGATATCTATGTCTCTGGAGAATTTTTCATCCATATCCTGCATGTAAAAAAATTTCTTTAAGTTGGCTTTCACCTTTCCCTTGTATCTCCTTGAGTAGCTTAACAATCAACCTTCTGAATTCTTTATCTGGCAATTCTGAGATTTCTTCTAGGTTTGGATCCATTGCTAGGGAGCTAGTGTGATCTTTTGAGGGTGTTATAGAACCTTGTTTTGTCATATTACCAGAATTACTTTTTTGGTTCCTTCTCATTTGTGTAGACTATTTATTCTAATTATTCTTGAATTTGTGATTTCACTGTGTATTTTTAAAAATTCTTTTTTTCCTCCTTAAGGATGTGACTTTAATGTTTATAGTTTATTGTAGCTTAATTTGGCTCTTGGTGCTTTCAGGAGTGAAGCCTCTGTATGAGTTCCTTGGTTATAGAGAGTCTTTGTATGATGACTTTCTCAGTTTCTGGTTGTAGTAGCAATACGCTTAATGTGTGAGCAAGTTCACAGTCTGTTAATAGGGTTGGAATGGTAGACGTTTCTTGAAGCTTATCTCATTCCCCCATGGCATACACTTTTTTATTTATTTACTTTCCCTATTATTTTATTTACTAGGTTGAATAGTTCAGGCGTCATGCCAATAGGGGTATGGTGTCCATGGGTAATAACAGGATGTGGCTAAAGCATGTGGTTAAACACAATACCAAATGGTGGGCAGGGGTGGCTGGGGGAGCTCTCAGTGAAATGCACTGAGGCCTTATCAGAGGGAAAGACTGCACCCACCCCTACCCTTGCCAGGCCAGCAGGAAAGCCATCTACCTCTCAAACACCCCTGAGCCAATGTTCTGGCTATTCTGATCAGATAGACACCTCTTTTTATGTACAAGCCTGTTGATGTTCCAAGTAGAGAGGAATTGTGACTTTACTTCTCATGCAAGCCTGCACCTGGAGAGTGCGCCTCCTGTGGGGATGGAGTCACCCTGAAGTATTCCAGAGAGGCTTCCTATAGGTGCACACATGCCAAGCTCCCATGGGAAAAGCCCCAGCTGTGTCTGCAGTGATGGATGACAGGGAGAAGACGTCCCCTTCTCTAAGACCCTTCATGAGCACCAGGGTTGCCTGACTTTTGGAGTAGGGCCTAAGAGTTTCTCTGCTGAGCCTAGCACTGCAGCTGTGCCTTTTCTGAAAGAGACTTCCCACCAGGGGAAAGATCAAGGACTTAAGGCCTACTCTCTGGGTCCCTTTGTCCCACTGGGTATTCCCTTGATGTGGTACATTCCCCCTTCTCCTATGAGTAGGAGTCCCTGAGAGCCAGACTACTTGAAAATGCTACTGCTCCTCCGGGTCTAGCCACTCAGTGTGGCTGTGATGCTCCAGGCTGGTGCTGGGGAATATCTGCAAGAGCTCCAGAGGTGTAGCCTGTCCTCAAGTCTTCCAGCTGCAGGTACCAGCTCTAGCTCTGACGGGGGTGCCAGGGGAGTGATGTAGACTCTGTGAGATTCCTTGGCTATGGATAATCTTAATGTGTTGGCTTTTCCAATGCTGACTATAGTAGCAATGAACAGGTCATATGGACAGACTCAGGGCCTCTTGGTTAGCCAGGGTGATGCAGACGATGCTGATAGCTGAGGTCACACACAAGTTTTCTATTTTCTGGGTGAAGTGTTATCTTTCTACCTGCCTTCCCTTTTTAAATAAAAAAAAAAAACCCACCCCAACCATACCCCCACATTATTTATTTTGTGAAGGCAGCTCAAGACTTATTCTTTCTGTGACACCTCCCATGAGCATAGTCCGCATTAATCACCAATCAGCAGATATTTAAACTACAGCTGTGATGCAGCAGTGTCCTGGTAGAGCTTGCAGTCTACAGGACATGACACTCTAAACAGGAATCCCAAGGGTGATGAGTCTCACTGAAATGTATTTATAAGTATCATATGGTTTAAAGCTAAAGTTTTTTTTGAATGCATATTTGTTTTGTTTTTCCAACTTAACCACTTTGGAGGCAGGGTCTAGACCACTTGTCTCTTCTTTACCTGTAGGACTCATATTAGGGACTCATAGTAGTGAGTACTTAACAAATATTTGTTGACTGATTAGCTCATACACATAGGCATCCAAATATGGTTGTGCCCACCATCTGTTTAAAGACATTAAACAACACTTTCTCTGACTTCAAAGTTGCTAAAAGAAGCATAACACTTTCGTTGTGGAATGAATCAGGTAGAACTGTGTTTGAATCTAGGTTTTGCCAGTTTCAGGTTGATTGATCACAGGTACAGAATGAGCCTAAGTGTCAGTTACCTTCTCTGTAAATGGGGGATATTATTAAAACAACCTAGGTTGTTATAAATGTTAAAATATCTAGAAATTGGCCTAGACCAGAGTAGATTTTCAATGTGTGTCAGTGTGTTCCCTCTTCTTTTCAGTAATTGGAGTTTGTTAACAAATTTATGTATAGCAGAGAGATTTTTTAACTCAATAAGTAGAGAAGATGGTTCTGCTGGATGAGGTTAGGCATAGTAAAAATCTGTTGCTTTTCTTTTCCTTCTTTCTTTTTTTTTTTTTTTGGTATACCCAACATTTCTCTCCTCTCCTTTTGGTAAGAGTGCCCTTTGGGAAACTTTCCCCCACACCTTAGGACTGTACGTCATATGACCCCATCTCCCTGTCTCTGGTGCAGGAATATAACAGAAGCAGAACAATCTGAATCTGGCTGGGGGATTGTCCTAGACCCTGGGATGAGAGGGTCTTCTCTGGCTTCATGAGCTCTAAGGACAAGCAAACCTGAAGCTTATGGGGACTGCTGTTCTGCTTCGTGAAGAAGCTCACTAGAAATGGAATATTAGCATTAGAAAGGAGAGAAGCAAAATCCTGAGGTCATCTTCTAAACAACTAAATCTAAAGCCACTTCTGTTCTATCACCTCTCCATTGGATAAACCAGTTAATTTTGTTTTATTTTGTTGTTGGAACTGGTGAGTGAAAATTCATCTGTGATCACTTACAATCAAGCATATTCAGTAAAAACTCAAAGCACAGGAAACATGAACATTTGAGAGTGGCCTGATGAATCTTCAAGGTCTTGTAAACCTTATTTCATAGAGAATGATATGGAAACTAGGAATGGTCCAGCTGCTGATGATTTTGTGGCCTGAATGAATGCATGTTAATCACTTTATCTTAGCTAATAAAGATAGAAATACAGCAAACCAAATTCCTTTCACTTGAAAATAAAGTTTCAGCAAGGCTGTTGAGCAGTGGTCTCTGTTTGGTGACAAATGCCATTTAATTGATAAGATCAGGTTCTTAAATTGCATGATAATGACCATCAACATTGACTCAGCCCTTTACACAGCCACATGTTCTTGTTGGGTCTTGATAAGAGGTAGGTACGATTCTTACCCTACATTTAAGGATAAAAAATGCAAGTGGTTTTCCTAATGATGACCAGAAAGTTTGTGATGGACCCAAAATTCCAACCGAGCCTTTTGACTTGAAGTGCTGAATCCTTTTCAAAATCCCTTGGGAATTCTAGTCACATAGAGACTTAAACTGGATAGAATATGGGTTTATTATTATTTTATTGAGAAAGAAATTCACTTGTTTTTATAAAGAAAATGTGATCTTTGTGAACTGCAGTAGAACCAGTTGGAGCAAAGAATGGTGATTTATTATGTGAATGGTAGGGCCAAGTGATATCTTAAACATTCTTTCACCTGAAATATGTATACTTCTGGTTTCTTTCAATCAGTTACTCACAGGCATGCATCCTGGTGAGACATCAGAGAAAAAACATCACGAATCTTACATGTAAGGCGAGTAGGCTAATGTGATATTCATTTAGTATTTTGTTTGGGAGAGATGTTCCTATTTATAATTTTGGAATGTATTTCTGTGTTATTAAGCTGTGGTATAACGGACTATCTCTGGCCAGGATAGAAACCACTCTTTATTCTTTTGACTCTTATATTGCAAGTTCTTAAAATTGACTCTGGTGAAGTGTATTCTGCTACGTGTCTACTTTCTGGGCTTGCTGAACGGATGTTTTCCTAATTCTTTAATCTTTGATAAAAGTCCACAACTAAAAACATTCACATACACCACAGGAATTATTAATAAGCTTAGTTGAAGCATGCCAGGGTAATTTTAGTTAACAGGTAAGTCAATATTTCTTTTACAAGTATAGTGAAATAGTGTTTACACAACTGGTGGGCTATTATGGACTTATTTAACTTGTTTGAAAGAGTATAGAGCCCATTATTTGCCCTGCTCATTTTACATTCATGATATAATCAGGCTTATGTGGAATTTCTTAACTTCCTTTCACCAACAAAATCTAATTAATTGAGAAAGGAGGAGGGGGATTTAAGAATAAAGATCTATTTTCTTTCAGAATTATTTATTTTGCGAGAAAACGTTAGTTCAGCTAATTCATTACTTTGAAATAGCCTATTATGTAAAATCAATCAGATCTGTCCTTGATTTTATCCAACATAAAGGAAACCTTTAAATATATCCACATGTTCACAACGTTCGAAAAGAAAGGACAGTGGTATATGATATTATCAATTGTTTAACTCTGTTTGATCCCCTTGTCTAATTCCATGTATGATAATGAACATGCTCCTACTGGTATGCAGCCTGCTTCCTGAGAACATATGCCCAATCAAACTCACATGTAAACTAGGGGTAGGTTTTCTTTTAAAACCAGGAATAAAATTAATGAGAAAAAAATAACAAAATACTTGAAATTGCATGATCTTCCTGCTCATTTGTGTGCTTTATTTAATTCTGCCAAATATTACCTTCATTTCCAGACGTGGATACTTCCATATGCCCAATGTGATGGATCTTTTTCTGGTCTTGTTAGAACTTCACTTTTAGGATTTTTAACCATCTATCATGTCCATGTGTTCGTACTTAAATGGCAGGGCACAGACAAACTTGGGCTGTGCTCCAAAATGATGAAGTGCTAACAGGTTCCTTTTTTGCAAAGCTGCTTCCCCCAAGTCCTGCAGCTAGAGTATGTATAGACCCAAAATCCTTCATCTGCAGTTTTGAAATCCTAAGAGTTCTGAAAAGGGAAGGTTTTTTTGAAACATATTTGGTGGCATCATTTAAACTGAACTGATGTGAATCTATTTATAAGCTTTCTCTCATGTCATGTAAATATTCATTGAAGTTGCTGCAGAAATATGGATGTGTTTGATTGTAGGGTATTTCCCCAAACCCAACTGAAGATTTTATGTAATATATAGGATATCACTCTTAATATATTCTATTTCTAAAATCCTCCAAAATTCCGAATTCTGTAACATCTGTCACCCTGATGTTTTTGGCTAAGGAACTGTAGATCTGTAAACATCACCCAACCATGGAATACCTATCCAATAAACTATTTTTTGAAGAAAAAGAAGACAGAAAAGCAACAGAACTCATTGTATGAGGAAAAGGTGGAAAGTGTCATTGAGAGGAAAACCTAGAGAGAGAAGAAAGGAAGTAGCCAGCTCAGATGAGATGAGCAGCCATTACTGGGCACAGTCCCCTTTGCAGAGTACAGGTACAGGGCACAGTCCCCTTTGCAGAACTCCCTGTATTCCCACTCTTGACAAACATTTGTGAAAAGGCTAGTATAAAGCATTCTATATGTTAGGGCTTAACTCTCTCAAACGCTAGAGAATAAATACAGTGGGTAAGCATATTTCAGAATAGAGAAAATCAGAAGTGTTGAGCAGAAATAGTAAAAGTAAGGAGATGGAATGATAAAGCTCACCTAGAAGAATAAATTTTGTGGATTTTATCCCAAGGACATGCAGGATTTATAAAGTAAATAAGTAAAAACATGCTATTTCCCAAAATGTTGTATTTTGATAAGTCTGGTGTATTTTAATTGAGTATGTATAGTAGCATTTCACTGCAATTACAATCTCATAAAGCAGGGTAAAACATATTGCATAAACACTGCGGCTCTAGTCAATGAGTCATAGTAAAACACTGTCCAGATTACCGCAATTAAAATTTACAGAAACCTTTTGTCGAGTATTATTATGGTTGTGGATTAACAAAATGACCCTGCTTGCTTTCATTGTTCTTTAATAAGAAATAACATTTTGATTTTAAGTTTCATTGATTTTTTTGCTTGGATTTTAGATGGGCAGTTTGCCAAGATAAATCTCATTGCTGTTTTTAAAAAAGTCTGAATACATTTTTAAAGAGATGATCCCTTTTGTTTTCTTACCAAGCTTTATTTGTTTTGCTCATATCTTTTCTGCTTTTCTCACTCATATTTTCTCCCTATTTTCCCCTCAGGATTGCTGGAAATGGGTGGGATGGGGTGAGGGTCATTGGCTGAGTCACCTAGTAGAAGGGGAGTATGGCATAATAGCACAATATAGCCTTTGGATTCCCACAAGCCAGGATTCAAATCTCTACTCAGTCATTTATAAGCTATGAGACTTGGAGAAACTTATCTCTGAGTTTCTTCATCTGCAAGATGAGGATAATTGCACCAAGTCTGTAGAACTGTTAGTAGAATGAAAGCTAATGTGTGTTAAAGGGCTTCGCATGAAGTAACACTTACTATATAACAGCAATAAGGGACTTTTCATTCTTTTCCTTAGGGGTTTTCCCCTTAAGAGAGTCTTTACAACTCTACAGAAATGGGAGGACAGAAACACACAAATAGATCCTTTCTCCTTCCTCTCTTCCTTCCTTGCTTCCTTTCTTCTTTCCTAATGATATGAGTACTTTGAACATTTATCATGATTTCATGAAAGCAGAGTATGTCACAAAATTTTGGGGCCAACTCTGTTGGGAACATTTGTTAGTGAAACATTCTTACTGAGTTACATTTAACAGGCCACAGTTTCCAGTTTTAGTGAAGCTTCAGTTCCCAATCTTAACCAGAATGCGTTTATTCAAAGACATTGATTGCCCATCCAAATAGATGCCAAGCACTGGGAATGTGGGAATAAATACATATGGAACCTGCTTTCAAACAGTTCACTGCTGAGTTGAGAAGAGACATGGAAAACAAATAATTAAAATGTTGCACAATAACCAGGATGAAAACATATGCTGTTAGGGAAAGAAGGAGGTGAAACTAACTCTGCTTCAGAGAAAGGTTTCATAGAAAAGGTGTTGTTTAGAGTGAGTTCCCGAAAGATCAGCAGGAGTTTGTTAAGTGACGAGGAATAGTAGTGCATTCCTAGGAGTTGGATGGAGACAAAATATAATTTTTAGATAATGATTAATTAGCATGGCTGTAGCTTAGGGTAAACATGTGTGAGTCTTGGGAGACTGGCATAAGGTGAACCTGAAAAGATATGCTAAGGCAGAGGGGTTGTTAACATGGTGCTGTATGCTGTGTTATTAAGCTTGGACTTGGTTCTGGGTGCAACAGGAGGCCAGGGCATCTTTACGCAGGGGAGTGGCATAGTCTTATTTTATCTCTGAGAAAGTAGAACTCTGGTGTCAGTATGGGGAAACTGTGGGAGAAGTCAGAAATGAGTGGTAGAAGCAGGAGTCAGGATGTATTACTGATTTGATCAAGAGGTGAGAAATGCTATAATGTATGTATAATGTATAATGTATAATGCTATATGTAACAGTAGACATGAGAGGAGGCATGTGTTAGAATTTGGAGATATTTCAGGGGCAGAATTGGCAGGATTTGGTGATTGTGGTACACACAGGGCACAGAATGGCTGTAATGTCTCCATTGCCTTTAGCCTGGGAGGTTGGGTAGGCTGTGACTATTTCCTGCAAAATAATTACCATTTCTGAGTCCTTATTTTTGCCAGGTACTATGCTAAGTACCTTAAATACATTTTTCCCCATTTATTTCTCTCAAGAACCCTGTAGGATAAATATAATCATCCTCTTTTTGTAAAGAGAAAACAAGGCTCAGAGAAATCAAATAACTTTCCAAAGTCACTCTGCCAATAAATGGCACAGTTAACATTGAATGTGTGGTCTCTACTTGACTCAAGCCACGTTTTTAAGACCTGGAAGGAGAGCAGGCTTTGAAAAGAAGACAATAAATCTAGCTTTGGACATGTCAAGTTTGCAGTTGAGAAGAGTTTCTAAAATAATGAAGGGTGCTGACTATAACATGTACCTTTGCAGCTTCAAATCTTTCTTGACACGGATTTTTGGATTTGAGCCAGACATAAATTCTTGATCACAGACTTGATGCAATTGTCTCTATATTCGTGTTTTTCTCTCCCAGTGGTAGACCAGTTTTGGCTCTAAAAACCCAAAACTCAGGAGCTGTGTCAGTATCCTAACAACTTGTGATGGCATATATTTTTGGCAGGTGATTTCCTAGGTTCTTTATTCTACTTAAGCTTTTTCCAGTCACATTATGACTGAAATTTGATGCATTTTGAGGCAGAAATGTCTTTTTTCCTTTTTTTGGATGCTACTGAGAGCCATATATCACACTAGTATTTTTAAAATGTTTCCTTTTATAAAAACCTTTTATAAACTGGCTTTTTCTTATTTTTTGTATCATCAGATCATAGTATAGTCTCTGAAGGTATTCTATAAATGTTTGTTTGATGGGTCAGTTACAAGAGGAATACAAGTGAGTTGTAGAAACATTGGAAAGCAAGCAACCATAGAACAAAATGAAAATCATCTGCAATCCACCACTCGAAGATAATTACTGTTAATATTTTTCTTCTGTTTTCTTTCAATCTTTTTAGTGTCTTATATATTTTTACCTAATTGTGATAATTTTTCACTTATAATGGGAAAAATATTTTCCCTTATCATCAAATGTCTTTGTAAACACCAGTTTTTATGTCTTCATGAGCTTTTATTCTCCCCATACTATATATAAGGAAGTTGATGCTCAGAGAACTTGAGGAAATTGAGGCTCAGAGAACTTGAAAGACATTCCTAAATATATAGTAAATTTGGCTCCGTCCTATACATTATGTGACTTCTCAATCTGGCAAGGAAGATTCAAAGTTTAGGCAAATAACCATACTAACGTGTAGCATATGAGAAACTCATTAGGAACGGTTCAAAGAGTTATAGGAGTTTGGAGGCAAGGGGAAGTACATCCTACTGATGGAATCAGGGAAGGTTTTATGGAGCAGGCTGCATCCGAGATGGGTCTTAAATGATTGGCAACAATTTGACATTGGAGAAAGACATTTAGGAGCAGGGGACAGTGTGAGCAAGAGGATGATGGCAGAAAAGCTTAGAATCCATTGAAAATTTTAACTAATACAATGTGGTTAACTCTTGGGCTTTTGGAGAAGATTGCATTAAGTTCACATGCTTTGTAGATAAATGGGAAACTTGATTAAAACTATGTCTTAGAAGGATTCCTCTGGCAGCAGGGTCTGGAACTGATTGAAGGGAGAAAGTGACCAAGAAACCACTGATTTTGCACATACTTACGGATTCAGCACATGCTTCTAGCTGGCTATGCCAGCTAGAAGAATACAATAATGAAAATTTCCAAGTGGGCTGGTTAGAAGAAAGGTGGTGCTATTAAAAATGAGGATATTTCGGGAAGAAGAGTCGAGATTTGTGTGTTGAGTTTGAGTGGTTTGGACTCAGCTGGGTATTCAGGTGCATTAGAGAGAGGGCAAGGATAGATGTCCTTGCACTTGGGAATTTTGGTTAGTGAAGTGGTCATGATTGACATTGATATTAAGAGGTGATGGATGTAGTGTGAGAACTGATGAAATATCAGAGGAAGAGGTTATAGATAAATATCCAACATTTATTGAGCACTAAATATGTATCAGGCACTGTTTGAAGAACTTTACAAGTATTAGCTCATTTAATCCTCACAACCCCATGAGTTAGGTATTATTAACATCTACATTTTATAGATACCCTATCTTATACATGAGGAAAATGAGGCCTAAGATCACACAGCTAGAGAGTTTTAAATTTGGGATTTAACCTCAAGCAGGCTGACTCTAAACGCATGTTGATAAACCCTATTTTATGCTGCTTCCCTGACAGAAGAGAGAAAGAAGACCAACCTGAGAAATATCAATAATAAGGGGACAGACCAGGAAGAGGAGTTTGCAGGACCAAAGAGGAGTAGTTACAAAAGGGTATTAGAAAGAAGCCCAGGAAGGCTGTGGCCAGGAGGACAGGTAGATGGTGTCAAATACTACAGGTATTTTCTCAGTTGAAAGGTATATCAATGTTCGTATGAAGCAGGCATGTAACAACATAGTGTCAAATTAAGCACATGCCTGAGGGAATAGTTACAAATGACTTATAATTATTGTTTCAGTAGTTTAATTAATAAACTCCTAATTCTAAAACCACCTTCCTCAAGACTATTCTCTTAATGCAATTCGTTAACAATCTATTGACCAGTACTACAGATTTAAACTATGCTAGGCACAGAGAGTGCTAGAAAAGGGACATTTATTTATTCATTGGCCAAATATTTATTGAGAACTTACTCTGGGCTAGGCACTGTGTTTCATGCTGAAGATATACTGACTAGGAAAATAGAAATGGTTCCTGACCTCCTGGAGCTTTTGGTCTAGTGGGAGTGGCAGGCCTTGATAACACACACACACACACACACACTTGCACACAAACACACAGTATATATTTACCAACTGTACTAAGTTTCACGAATGATCTTTTTTGGAAACAAAATTTACCAATGAGAAAATAAAGTGGCATGCACAAATGAGCCACATTCCTTAGAATGGTTTTTTTTCTACTTATTTGTTTAGCAATTCTTCTTTTCATAGATAGATAAAGTTATTCTGAACACTAATAAAATTATTATCTTTCTCAATTAGTGGGATGCAGTTTTACTTTTTATCTGCCTTTTTTCTTTAGGCATTTTTCTCTCCATTTTTCCTTTACTTGTGAGGTTGTATAATTGTGGCAACAGCTTGTTGGTTGAGGTTTATTCTTGTGCAAGCAAAGAAAATGGATCAAGAGATCATATTGATAAATGGGGGTGGGGCCCATCATGGGTTTTGGCATCTCAATTTCAAGGCTGCTTTGAGTGTCATAGAAGGTGTGTGTCATCTCCAACATATAGGCAGGTTGCTATATTAATTAGCTCGACTTCCTTAAATATTTATTAAGTTGAAGACTTTTCAGAGCAAAATCAATGTTTTCCATAGAGTGTTAAAAAAAAAAAACCTCTTGAGTGAGCACTCCAGTGCCAATTCACTGTGGACATTCAATTGGTAACAACACAAACGTGGATTTCTAATTTTTGTTTATACTGTTGATTTGTCCATATATGAAATTGATGGCAGTGGTGGCCCATTTGGAGCAGCCACTGTGGGGATGCCAGCTGCAGCAGGGGACAGTGTGGCTGAGGCTGTGCACTCCACAGAGCTGGCAGGGGCTGGGAACAGGTGGGAGCCTGCCCGTTAACAAGTTAAAGTGGTGGGAGCCCTGCGTTCCTGGGCACATCTGAGGCAACCAGCTGCAGCTCTGGACCTGGTCATCTCTGAACTCTCAGGGGCCTGGGAAGCCCCCCTGCCCCTGTAGGCTTGGAAGTGCCTGCTCCCACTCTGTGGCCTCTCCCCACTCCTGGTGCCTGCTCTGATTTCTGGGCAAAGTTGAAGCCGAGCCTGGGTGCTGTCATGACCCAGCCAGGTGTGCACATGCTTGGGTGGCACTGACACACCAGCCCCCTGCCACCTTGGCCCCCGTTTGAAGATTTGGGCAACAATGAGCTCAGGGAGGGATGTCAGGGCAACTGAGAACTGCTCTGCATGGGCCTGCAGGTGCCCCTTGTTGTGAGCAGCCTGGGCATGGTGGACAGCATGTTAATGAGGGCAGGCAGACATCTGGACAGAAAAGGGTGGGTCCCTAGTGAAACTGCACCTTCAAGCCAGTGACTGCCTGAAGCCTGGGGCTGGGCTGCTGGTTCTTCTGGGCCTGCTCATGGCCACCCATGGACCAATCAGCATGTACTTCCTCCCTTCTGAGCCCATAAAAACCCTAGACTCAGCTAGACTTGAATAGATGTCAAGATGACTTGCCTATGGAAAGGAGCTACCCACTGTGGGTGTCCTGAGAGCTGTTCCATTGCTCAGTGATGCTCCTCTCTGCCTTCCTTGCCCTCCAGTTGTCTGTGTACCTTGTTCTTTCTGGACATGGGACAAGAACTCAGGACCTACTGAATGACAGGACTGAAATAGCTATAACACAACAGGCCTGAAAAACACCCCCACATGCCTCTTGCCATATTGTGGGTGATGAGAAAAACAGAAGAACTATGGCCTTTTGGGGAACCCAGACCTAGGGGCTCCCTGAGCCAGAGCTGTGACACCCTCTTTGGGGCTCTGCAGTTCCTGGCATCTCCAAGCTTCTGGGTGCCATGGTGTTCCACCCATCCAGACACGAGTGACTGCAGTGGATGTGTGCAGTACATCTCTTCCAGCCACAGCCTTGCACAGAGCCAGCACCTGTGCTGGTGCCTGGAGCTGCCCGCCCCACTGCAACAGCCAGTGTGACTGGCTGTGTGCAGTGGCCAGACCCTGTGTTCGCTTGCCCACACACCTCTCACTGCTCTGTGCCTGGCTTACCTTTAGCAAGTATGGGATCTGGGCCAGTATTTTTGTTAAAAAAATTTTTAGAGACTGGGTCTCACTATGTTTCTCAGGCTGGACTCAAACTCCTCGGCTCAAGCGATCCACCTCAGCCTTCTGAGTAGCTGGGACTACAGGTGGGTGCCACTGCACCTGGCTTGGGACCAACTATTATGTGTGCTATACTAGATTTTGTTTCACAGGCACATTAAAATATTGTTTAAGTTTAAAATTGAACTACTTAAGTGCCAGAAGGCTTAAGGCTTTAACAATGTTTAGGAGGTCAATTAACATCTATTTTTGGCTTTCCTTCGTCATTGCCACTTATTCAACAAGTAGTTATTGAGTGCCTGCTATGGCAAGATCCTCTTGGTTCTGGAGGAATAGCAAGCAAACAAAAACAAATAAAAATCCCTGCCCTTTACATTCTAGAGTAAGTTTACATTCTAGAGAGGCAGACAATAAATAGAATAAAATTAATAAAATATAACATATTCTAAAATCTAAAATATATAGAATGTCAGGTGGTAATTAAAAAAAGCAGTGATGGGAAGGTAAGAAGTGTGAGGTCAGGGAGGGTGAATTTCTGTTTTAAGTAGAATGGCCAGGGGAGGGCTCACTAAGATGTGATGTCAGATAAAAGACCTAAAGAAAATCAGAGAGTGGGCTGTGCAGGCATCCATGGGGAGGAGCTTTCCAGACAGAAGAAACAGCAAATAGAAAGACCCTGAGCTGGCTGGAGCAGGCTGTCATGTCTGATGGGCAGTTGGAGGCCAGTGTGGCTGGAGTGCACTGAAAAGGAAGGAGGACTTCAGGATGGTCTCTGACTGGCTATTGCAAGGACTTTGGATTTCACTTTGAGTGTGATGGAGAGTCACTGGAGGGTTTGAGCAGAAGAGTGATGCAATCTAATTTATACTTAAAGGAATGTTTTTGTCTGTTGGGTGGGGAAGAGATGAGTTATGAAGAGGGGTGGAGGAAAAGGCAAGGATATCTTAGTCCAGGTGGTGGCTTGAACTAGGGTGATAACGGTGGAAGTGAAACCAGCGGCTGGATTAGGGGCTGGATTTGGGATATGTCCTGAAAATAGATTGGACAGAATTTGCTGATGAATTGGATTTGAAGTTTGTGACAGGGAGGGAATAATCAAGGAAGAATTCAAGGTTTTTGTTGTGATCAACAGGAAGGATGAAGCTGTCGTTAACTGAGATGTGGAAGACTGTGGGAAGAAAAAGTTTGGAAGAAAAGAAAAGGAGGCAGGAATTGAATGTGTTAATTTAGAGAGTATATTATGTCTGAATGCAAACAATATGTAATTGAATATATATGTCTGGTGTTCAGAGGAGGACTCTAGGATGGATATTAAAATTTGGTAATTGTCAGAATGTACATAGTATTAAAAGCCACAATACTTGTTGAGATCACTAATGGGATGGGTAGAGGTAGAATAGGGAAGAGGTCCAGGTACTGAACCTGAAGTGCTCTGAAAGCTAGCCTATAAAAGGTCAACTGCAGAGGCTGATGCACAGAATCATTACCAGCAAAGATTAGGGAGAAGTGGCCAGTAAGAGTAGAGGAAAATTAGAAGACAGCAGTGTCTGGTAGCTATGAAAGAAACTATCTCAAGCGACAAGGAGTGATCAATAGTAAACTATACTCATAATTAATTTAAAATGAAGAGGGAGAACGTCTATAAGGTTTAGCATTGTGGAGGTCTTTAATAACCCTTAGAAAGAGTAATTTTTTTTTTTGAGACAAGGTCTTGCTCTGTCACCCAGACTGGAGTGCAGTGGCATGATCGTGGCTCACTGCAACCTCAACCTTCTGGGCTCAAGAGATCCTCCCACTCAGCCTCCCACGTATCTGGGACTACAGGTGCATGCCACTACACTTGGTTAATTGTGATGGAGACTGGGTCTACTTGGAATGAATTCACTTATTCTATTTGAAAATATCTGAAATAAACACCCCAAAATATTCTCTAAGCAAAAAACCTAGAACATACTTTCAGATATTGAGACAACAACAATAATATCAATGACAACTGACATTTATTCAGTACCTACTTGTGTCAGGGACTGTGTTAAAGTGCTTTACAAGTACAATTTTATTTGACTTTTCACAATCAACCTATGAATTAGGTTCAATTATCTCCATTTCATAAATGAGGAAGTTGACGTTTATAGACTTTTAAGTGTGTAAAGTCACATAATGAGTAAGTGATGGAACTGAGATACTGGAAATATTTTCATAATGCTTTTACACTGAATGATTATTTTGTTTCCAGGGTATATTGATATGCCTTTGGAAATAAGTAGTCTCATTCTTTAGAACCTAAGGTGGTATTTTTTACATTCCATTTATTTCATGTCCCTTTATTTTCCTGATATCTAGCACTTCTACAATAATGAAAAGTTATAACTAGTTCCTTTATAGTTGTTTGTATGGTACTTTTTTGATGCAGAGAACTACCTAACATATTTCAATTTATTAAATTAGATTAATATGTTCAATCAAGTTAAATGTTATTAAGGAAAATGCTATTTTCTAGAATGATTTCTATTTTTAATAGAAATTTATTTTGAGGAACTTGATTACATTTTTGGAAGTATATTCTTAAAATAATTACATCGAAAAGCCATTGAACATTTAACATACTCATTTCATGTTCATAACCTTTCTGTGTGGTGGACATTATTATTATCTACATTTTACACACAGGGACCTGGAGGTTTAAAGAAGTTGAGTAAATTGCCTGAAGTCACAGAGCTTGTAAGTGGTTGAGTAAGGATTGACCCCATGTCCTCTGAAATTACATTCCCTGCTTTTTCCACTACAACATGCATGTAAATTTAGTTAATTCCAATGCTCAGCTTGAAATATTATATCTTTACTCATCTGTGTTAAATTGATTACCCTCATTTGATGCACCATTGTAACTCTAACAGCTGGAGCAACAGGGGCCCACAGTTTTAGGAAAGCACGTATATATTTTTAAATTAGGCGTGTTTTCTCAGGGAAGCATGCGAGTAGTTTGTTATTATTTTTCTTTTTTAGGATTGATTCTACATAACCTGAGAGAGGGAAAAGCAGAATTACTGTTGCTTGGCTATGCTCTTCATAGTTGCTGATCCTTTTTTGAGGATGTAGCTAGGAGTGGTGTTAGCAGGGAAATGGAATGAACACAGACTGTGCCATGAATTCTGGAGCCTGCCCTGAAATAGGCTGGGGACTGTGTCATTGATTTTCTAGAATGACTTCCACAATTTCCCAACCCTCCTGAATCTCACATTCAATTCACAAAAAATTGTTGATTTCCTTACATTAGCATGCCCTTTTCACATTTACTTTTGAGCCTCTTTGATCAAGCTTCTACTCTAGGGCCAGAATGGTTTATTAGACATGCAACAATGATAACCCACGTATGGGTTCAAAATTCTTCAGTGGCTCCACATTACATTTAATATAGAATATCAATCCCTTAACATGGCCTACAGGGTCTGACCTGGTCTGGCCCTCTCCCTACTCTTCAACCTCAGCCAGTACCATTTTTCATCACAGGCCCCAGGCTTTCTTGAAGTTCCTTTAGTCTTTTCCTTCCTCAAGGCTCACGGAATACTATTTCCCCTGCCTAGAATATTATCTTCTCCATTCTTAGGGGTAAGTGCTTCCTCCTCAAAGACCTTCCCTGACCACCCAATCTAAATTAGGTCCCCCCAGCCCCTGTTATAATTTCTCTAATTATTTTCTGCCTTTCCTTCAAAGTGTTTATTACAATTTGGTGTTCCATTTTATTCGTATGTTTATTCTATATCAAGACCCCTCCCCATATAAATGTAAGTCACACAAGGGCACTTTCTATATCTGCTTTTTTTCACCACTGCCTGGTAACATAAAAGACATTCAATAACATTTCTAGAATAAATGAATGCCCTTTCATAAGCTGTTTTATCAACCTGGGATATAACAAAAATAGCCAATGTTTATTTTGCAGTAATATCCTAAGCACTGTAATGACATTACAAATTGGTTGATCCTGGAGCAGGGGTAAAGCTGGGAGATGCATGTATGTAATGATTAGGTTTCATGGGAGGATGTAAATTTTTTGTTTTGCTGCATTTTATTGACTGTCTAAAAAGCAAGTGATAAGGAAAGAGAACAAAAGGATTTGGTCAAATGTCGAATTCTATCACATTATATCTAGATATTCTTATGGAGAATATTGTGCAATCAAGAAGCTGTGATGTATAAGTAGATCAATATGAACTTGTTTTAAAGAGACGAATAGTCACATCAACTTTTCAATCCTTTTGATAAGTAGAAATAAGTAGGGACAAACTCAACTGTCCCTAATTTTCTTTAAATTTGAAAATAGTCTTTTACTGTCTTCACAGGATGCGTGATTGGGAGCAGAGATTGGTTAACACTATCATTTTAGCTCCCTCTGCTGGTAGTGAATGATGCGTTTAGCAGAGGGCTGACGAAAAGTGCAAATGTTGCTAAAGATAGGGATGAAACACCTTTGCTGTTGTTGCTAGTCTCCTCTTGGTCAAGGTAGGAAGCAAACATGCTGTTTTTAAAGCAATTTTTAACAGTCTTATTGATATATACTTTATATACAATAAGATTCACTTGTTTAAAGTGTACAATTAGTTTTTACTGTGTTTACAGAGTTGCACAACCATCACCATAATCTAATTTTAGAACATTTTTCATCGCCCCAAAAGAAATCTTCTATCCATTGGCTACAGCTCTCTTTCTTTTACCCTACCTCCTCTGCCACTAGCTCCTGGAAACCACTAAATTACTTTCTGTCTCCATAGACTTAACTAATTTGGACTCATTTGATAAATGGGTTCATACAATGTATGTTTATTTGTGTCTGCCTATTTCACTTAGCATACTGTTTCTAAGGTTTATTCGTGTTGTGGATCAGTATTTCATTAGTTTTTATTGACAAATAGTATTCAATTATATGGACATACCACATTTTGTTAATCTATTCATTATTTGATGGGCAATGAGGTTTCTGCTTTTAGGCTATTATGAATAATGCTGCTATAAACATTAGTGTTTAAGTTTTTAGGTAGACATATGTTTCAATTATCTTGAGTAGACAGATACCTAGGAATGCAATTGCTGGGTCATATCTACACTGAACATTTAGAGGAACTGCCAATTTTTTTCTAAAGTGGTTATACTATATTACATTCTCACACATGCTCTTTTGGATAGGTTTACAAAGTAGCGCCTAAGAGAAAGACAGCTTAAATTTAATGTGTCTTTTGTCATTTATTCTTTTAAAAATTTTTAAATTTTATTTCAATAGTTTTTGGGGAACAGGTGATTTTTGGTTACATGGATAAGTTCTTTAGTGGTAATTTCTGAGATTTCGGTGCACCCGTCACCTGAGCAGTGTACACTGTACCCAATGTGTAGTCTTTTATCCCTCACCCCTCCCACTGTTTCCTCCGAGTTTCCAAATTATGTCATTCCTATGCCTTTGTGTCCTCACAGCTTAGCTCCAACTTATAAGTGAAAACATATGATATTTGGTTTTCCATCCCTGAGCTACTGCACTTAGACTAATGGTCTCCAACTCCATTCATTGCTGTGAATGCCATTATTTCATTCCTTTTTATTCCATGGTGTATATATACCACATTTTCTTCATTCACTCATTGATTGATGGGCATTTAGGCTGATTCCATATTTTAGCAATTGTGAATTATACTGCTATAAGCATGCAAGTGTCTTTTTCATGAAATGACTTCTTTTTCTCTGGGTAGATACCCAGTATTGGGACTGCTGGAACAAACGGTAGTTCTACTTTCAGTTTTTTAAGGAATCTCCATAGTGTTTTCCAAAGTGGTTGTTCTAGTGTACATTCCCACCAGCAATGTAAAAGTGTCACCACATCCATGCCAACATCTATTATTTTTTGGTATTTAAGTAATGGCCATTATCTCAGAAGTAAGGTGGTATCTCACCGTGGTTTCAATTTGCATTTCCCTAATAATTAATGATGTTGAGTATTTTTCATGTCTGTTGATTATATATCTATTATGTTTTCATGTTTTTTGCCCACTTTTTGATGGGATTATTTGTTTTTTTTTTCTTGCATATTTGAGCTCCTTATAGATTCTGGATATTAGTCCTTTGTCAGACGCATAGTTTGTGAATATTTTCTCCCATTCTGTGGGCTGTTTACTCTGCTGATTATTTCTTTTGCTGGGCAGAAGTCTATTTATTTTTGTTTTTGTTGCATTTGTTTTGGGGTTCCTGGTCAGAAACTCTTTGCCTAAGCAGATGTCTAGAAGAGTTTTCCCAACATTATCTTGTAGAATTTTTATGGTTTTGGGCCTTAGATTTAAGTCTTTGATCCACCTTGAGATGAGTTTCATATAAGGTGAGAGATGAGGATCCCATTTCATTCTTCTACATGTGGCTTGCCAGTTATCCCAGCAGCGTTTGTTGAATAGGGTGTCCTTTCCCCACTTTATGTTTTGTTTGCTTTGTTGAAGATCAGTTGGCCCTAAGTATTTGGCTTTATTTCTGGGTTCTCTATTCTGTTCCATTGGTCTAAGTGTATTTTTATACCAGTACCATGCTGTTTTGGCAACGATAGCCTTTTAGTATAGTTTGAAGTTGAGTAATGTGATGCCTCCAGATTTGTTCTTTTTGCTTAGCCTTGTTTTGGCCATGCAGGCTCTTTTTTGGTTCTATATGAATTTTATGTTTTTTTTTCTTGTTCTGTGAAGAATGATGATGGTACTTTGATGGGAATTGCATTGAATCTGCAGCAATTTTGAGCATACTGCCAAAAGCAATATGATGCTTTGCATCATCAAAGCAATATATTGCTTTTGGCAGTATGGTCATTTTCACAATATTGATTGTACCCATCTATGAGCATGGGATGTATTTCCATTTGTTTGTGTCATTGATGATATCTTTCAGCAGTGTTTTGTAATTTTCCTTGTAGAGATTTTTCACCTGGTTCTGTATATTCCTAAGCATTTTATTTTTTTTTTGCAAGTGTTGTAAAAGGAGTTGAGTTCTTGATTTGATTCTCAGCTTGGTTCTTGTTGGTGTATAGCAGTGCTACTGATTTGTGTACATTGATTTTGTATCCTGAAATTTTACTGAATTTATTTATCAGATTTAGGAGCTTTTTGGATGGACCTTTAGGGTTTTCTTGGTATATGATCATAACAACCGCGAACAGTGACAGTTTTACTTCCTCTTTACCAGTTTGATGACTTTTGTTTCTTTTTCTTGTCTCATTGCTCTGGCTAGGACTTCCAGTACTATGTTGAATAGAAGTGGTGAAAATGGGTCATTCTTGTCTTGTTCCAGTTCTCAGGGGCAATGCTTCCAACTTTTCCCCGTTTAGTTCAGTTTTCAGTCCAGCTGTGAAACCATCTGGTCCTGGACTTTCTTTTTGTTGGCAATTTAAAAAATTACTGTTTCACAGTAAACTGAGATCACGCCACTGCACTCCAGCCTGGGCGACAGAGCAAGACTCCGTCTCAAAAAAAAAGAAAAAAATATTACTGTTTCAGTCTTGCTACTTGTTATTTGTATGTTCAGAGTTTCTGTTTCTTCCTGATTTAATCTAGGAGGGTGATGCATTTCCAATAACTTAGCCATCTTCTGTATGTTATCTAGTTTGTGTGCATAAAGGTGTTCATAGTAGCCTTGAATGGTCTTTTGTATTTCTAGAGTATTGATTGTAATATCTCCTATTTTGTTTCTAATTGAGCTTATTTGGATCTTCTCTCTTCTTAATCTCGCTAATGGTCTATCAATTTTGTTTAAGTTTTCAAAGAACCAGTTTTTTGTTTCATTTTTCTTTTGTTTTTTTTTTTTTTTGTGTCAATTTCATTTAGTTCTGCTCTGACCTTTGTTATTTTTTTTCTTCTGCTGGGTTTGGGTTTATTTTGTTTTTTGTTTATCTGGTTCTTTGAGGTGTGACTTTAGATTGCCTATTTCTGCCGTTTTGGACTTTTTGTTGTAGGCATTTAATGCTATGAACTTTCTTCTTAGCGCTGCTTTTGCTGTGTCCCAGAGGTTTTGATAAGTTATGTCACTATTATCATTCAGTTCAAAGAATTTTTAAATTTCCATCTTGATTTCATTGTTGACCCAAAGATCACTCAAGAGCAGATTATTTAATTTCCATGTATTTGTATAATTTTGAGAGTTCTATTTGGAATTAATTTCCAGTTTTATTCCATTGTGGTCTGAGAGGATACTTGATATAATTTTAATTTTCTTAAATTTATTGAGACTTGTTTTGTGACTTATCATATGGTCTGTCTTGGAGAATGTTCCATGTGCTGATGAAAGAATGTATATTTTTCAGTTGTTGGGTAGAATGTTCTGTAAATATCTGTTAAGTCTATTTGTTCTAGGATATAGTTTAAGTCCACTGTTTCTTTGTTGACTTTCTGTCTGGATTACCTGTCTAGTACTGTCAGTGGAGTATTGAAGTCCCCGCTATTATTGTGTTGCTGTCTATCTTATTTCTTGGGTTTAGTCATAATTGTTTTTATCAAATTGGGAGCTCCAGTAGTAGGTGCATATATATTTAGGTTTGTGACATTTTCCTGTTGAACTAATCCTTTTATCATTAAATAATGTCCCTCTTGATCTTTTTTTTTTTTTTTTAACTATTGTTGCTTTAAAGTCTGTCTTGTCTGATATAAGAGTAACTACTCCTGCTCACTTTTGGTTTCTATTTGCGTGGAATATCTTTTTCCACCCCTTTACCTTAAGTTTATGACAGTCCTTATGTGTTAGGTGAGTCTCCTGAAGACAGGAGATACTTGGTGGGTGGATTTTTATTCATTCTGCCATTCTGTATCTTTTAATTGGAGCATTTAATTCATTTACCTTCAGGATTAGTATTGAGATGTGAGGTACTATTTTATTCATCATGTTAGTTGTTGCCTTAATACCTTGTTTTTCTTTTTCATTGTGTTTTCATTGTATTGTTTTATGGGCCGTGTGAGATTTATGCTTTAAGGAGGTTTTACTTTGGTGTACTTCAGAGTTTCATTTCACTATTGAGAATTGTTTTACAGCATTTCTTGTAGTGTTGGCTTGGTAGTGGCAAATTCAGTGTCTGAAAAAGACTTTATCTCTCTTTCATTTATGAAGCTTAGTTTTGCTGTATATAAAATTCTTGGCTGACAATTGTTTTGCTTCAGGAGGATAATCATGGAATCCCAATCCCTTCTGACTTGTAAAGTTTCTGCTGAGAAATCTGCTGTTAATCTGATAGGTTTTTCTTTATAGGTTATCTGATGCTTTTGTCTCACAGCTCTTAAACTTCTTTCCTTTGTGTTGACTTTAGAAAACCTGATGACTATGTGCCTATGTGATGATGTTTTTGCAATAAATTTCCCAGGTATTCTTTGAGCTTCTTGTATTTGGAAGTATAGATCTCTAGCAAGGCCAGGGAAGTTTCACTCAATTATTGGCTGAAATAAGTTTTTCAAAGTTTTAGATTTCTCTTTTTCCTCAGGAACATCAATTATTCTTAGGTTTGGCTGTTGGACATAATTTCAAAGTTCTTGGAGGCTTTGCTCATTAATTTTTTTTCTTTGTCTTTGTCTGATTGGGTTAATTTGAAAGCCTTTTCTTTGAGCTCTGCAGTTTTCTCTTCTACTTGTTATAGTCTATTGTTGAAACTTCCCAGTGCATTTTATATTTCTCTAAGTGTGTCTTTCACTTCCAGAAGTTGTGATTGTTGTTTCTTTATGATATCTATTTCTCTGGATAATTTTTCATACACATCCTGTATTTAAAAAAATTCTTCAAGTTGGTTTGCACCTTTCTCTAGTATCTCCTTGAGTAGCTTAATAATCAAGCTTTTGAATTCTTTATCTGGGAATTCAGAGATTTCTTCTTGGTTTGATCCATTGGTGGGCAGCTAGTGTGATCTTTTTGGGGTGTTGTAGAACTCTGTTTTGTCATATTACCAGAATTACTATTTTGGTTTCTTCTCATTTGGGTAGAATATTTCAATGGAAAGGTCTGGAATGCAAGGCCTGCTGTTCAGATTCTTTTGTCCCATGGGCTGATCCTTTGATATGATGCTCTTCCACTTCCCCTAGGGATGGGGGTTCCTGAGAGCTGAACTACAATGGTTGTTATTGTTTTTCTGGATCTGGTCACCCAGTGGGGCTACCAGACTCTGAGCTGGTGCTGGGGAATATCTGCAAAGAGTCCTGTGATGTGACTGGTCTTCAGGTCTGCCAGCCATGGTTACCAGCACTTGCCAGTTTTTCAACTGTCTCATGGAATACGCAGTGGTGTGCTGCTTCTGTCAATGCATCTGTGAACTATTTTGGTTTTCCTGGTTCATTCCTGCAGTGCTTCTTGGAGCAAAAGTTAACGGTGTGAGTCTCCATGCATTGTTCTGTTTGTCCAAGTGAGAGCTGCACGTTAACCCTGTTTTCTATCTGCCATCTTGTCCCTCTACATATTATCGTTTATTCTTTTATATTACTTATGTATTTTCATATTTCCTCATTTGCTTTAAAAAGTTTTTGCTTGGCTGGGCGCGGTGGCTCACACCTGTAATCCGAGCACTTTGGGAGGCTGAGGCGGGCGGATCACGAGGTCAGGAGATCGAGACCATCCTGGCTAACACGGTGAAACCCGGTATCTGCTAAAAACACACAAAAAATTAGCCGGGCGTGGTGGCGGGTGCCTGTACTCCCAGCTACTGGGGAGGCTGAGGCAGGAGAATGGAGTGAACCTGGGAGGCGGAGCTTGCAGTGAGCCGAGATTGCACCACTGCACTCCCGCCTGGGCGACAAGAGTGAGACAGTCTCAAAAAAAAAAACAAAAAACAAAAAAACAAAGTTTTTGCTCAATCTATCTATTCTCCATTACCACTGTGAAATCTCTCTCTGTCTCTCTCTCTCTTTTTTAGAAATGGGGTTTCACTATGTTGTCTAGGCTTGACTCAAACTCCTACGCTCACGGGATTCTTCCACCTCAGCCTCCTGAGTGGCTGGGACTACAGGCATAGTCATTGTACCTGGCTCCAATTTCTTTAGTTTTCTTCTCTGTAAAGATGTACAGTAAGATGATTTCCATGCTCTCACTCGGCTTAAATATAGTAGGATAGGATGAAAAACCTAAGTATTGTGCTGATTTCTAGTTTCCTCAGTGAGATTGCTGTAAAACTCCTTTTGGAGAAGAATATCATGATGGCTTAGAGTATTGGATCTGGAAACAGACTATTTGGGTTAAGATCCTTGACCTATCATTTTCTGATTGCATAACACTGGGAAAGGAATTAATTTTTCCAGCTTTATTGTTTATAACTGACAAGAGTTATATATATAAATAATTTTTTAATAAATAAATATAGTATACAATGTGATGTTTTGATTTACGTATACATTAGAAATGATCACAATCAAGCTAATTAACATGTCTATCACATACGTAATTATCTTTTTTTTTGGTGGTAAGAACATTTAAGATCAACTTCTTAGCAAATTTCAAGCATGTAACACAGTATTATTGACTATAATTACCATGCTTTGTGTTAGATCTTCATAAGTTATTCATCCTGCCTAACTGAAGCTTTGTACCCTTTGGTTAACACTTCCCTATTTCTCCACTTCACAGTCCTTGGCAACCACAATTCTACTCTCTGCTTCTATGAATGTCATTTTTAAAGACTCTACATATACGTTGAGATAATGCAGTATTTGTCTTTCTGTACCTGGCTTCTTTCACTTAGCAAATGTGCTCCAAGTTCATCCATGTTGTTGCAAATGACAGGATTTCCTTCTTTTAAAAGGCTGAATAATATTCCATTGTGTTTATATATATATATAATAACATATTCACAATGACATATTATATTATACACACATATATTTTTCATTATCTATTCATCTGCCCATGGACACCTAGATTGATTCTATATCTTGGCTATTAAGAATAATGCTACAGTGAACATGGGAGTGCAGATATCTCTTCAAGGTCCTAATTTCAATTATAGTGGATATATACTCAGAAGTGTGGTTGCTGTATTATTTGGTAGTTCTAGTTTTAATTTGTAAATATAGTTTCATGTTGTTTTCTATAATGTCTATACCAATTTACATTTTCACCAACAGTGTGCAGGGTTCCCTTTTCTCCACATCCTTGCCAATGTTTGTAATCTTTTGTCCTTTTGATATTAGTCATTGTAGTAAGTGTGAGGTGATATCTCAATCTGGTTTCAATTAGCATTTCCCTGATCATTAGTGATGTTGCACATTTTTAAATATGTATGTTGACTATTTGTATGTCTTCTTTTAAAAAATGTCTATTCAGGTATTTTGCTTACTTCTCAATAAGGTTTTTACTTTTTACTATTGAGTTGTTTGAATTCCTTACATTTTGATATTAACCCCTTATCGGATATATAGTGTACAAACATTTTCTCCCATTCTGTGAGTTGTCTATTCCCTCTGTTAATCATTTCCTTTGTTGCACAGAGGCTTTTTAGTTAGATGCAATACCACTTGTCTGTTTTTGCATTTTGTGTCTGTGTTTTTGGGGTCATATAAAAAATTATTGCCCACACCAATGTCAAGAAGCTTTTTCCCTGTGTATTCTTTCTTGTAGTTTTACAGTTTCAGGTCTTATATTTAAGTCTTTAATCAATTTGGAGTTGATTATTGTATATTGTATGAGAAACTACTTTCATTCTTCTGCATATACATATCCAGCTTTGCCAACACCATTTATTGAACAGACTGTCCTTTCCCTGCACGTGTTCTTCATACTTTTATCAAAGATCAGGTAGATTTTGTGGAAACCAGGTAGTGTGATGACTCCAGCTTTCTTTACTTATTCAAGGTTGCTATGGTTATTCAGGGTCTTTTGTAGTTCCATATGAATTTTAGAATTGTTTTCCCTATTTCTGTAAAATGCCATTGGAATTTTGATAGGAAGTGTATTAAATTTGTGGATTGCTTTGGGTAGCAAAGACATTTTAACAATATTAATTCTTCCAACCTGTGAACATGAGATATCTTTCCATCTATTTGTTTTCTTCAATTTCTTTCAACCCTGTTCTACAGTTTTCAATGTACAGATCTTTCAGCTTCTGGTTAAATTTATTCTTAAGTATTTTTAATTTTTTCTGATGCTATTGTAGAATTTTTATTTGATTTCTTTTTTCAGATCGTTTGTTCTTAGTGTATAGAAATGCCACTGACTTTTGCATGTTGATTTTGTAGTGACTTTATTGAATTTACTTATTGGTTCTAATAGTTTTTTGATGTAGTCTTAAGGGTTTTCTACATATAAGATTATGTTATCTGTAAACAGGAACAATTTAACATCTTCCTTTTCAGTGTGGATGCCTTTTCTTTCTCTTGCCTAATTGTTCTGGCTAGAACTCCCAGCACTATGTGGAATGGAAGTGGCAAGAATGGGGCATCTTTGTCTTGCTTTTTTTTTTTTTTTTTTTTTTTTTTGAGACGGAGTCTCGCTCTGTCGCCCAGGCTGGAGTGTGGTAGCGTGATCTGGGCTCACTGAAAGCTCTGCCTCCAGGGTTCACGCCATTCTCCTCCCTCAGTCTCCCAAGTAGCTGGGACTACAGGTGCCTGCTACCATGCCCAGCTAATTTTTTTTTTTGTATTTTTAGTAGAGATGGGGTTTCACCATGTTAGGCAGGATGGTCTCGATCTCCTGACTCGTGATCTGCCCGCCTTGGCCTCCCAAAGTGCTGGGATTACAGGCATAAGCCACCATGCCTGGCCCCTTGTTTTGTTCTTGATTGTAGAAGAAAAGTTTTTAACTTTACACTGTTGAGTATTATGTTAGCTATGGGCTTGTCATATATGTTTTTGTTGTGCTGAGGTACATTTCTTCTATACCTAATTTACTGAGAGTTTTTATCTTGAGAAAATGTTGAATTTCGTTGTTTTTGTATGTTTGTTGAGATGATTATATAACTTTTACTGTTCATTCTGTTCATGTGGTGTATCATATTTATTGTTTTGCATGTGTTGAACCATCCTTGCATCCCAGGTATAAATCCCTCATGATTATGGTGAATAATCCTTTTAATGTGCTGTTGAATTCAGTTTGTTAGTATTTTGCCATTACGTTCATCAGCAATATTGGACTGTAATTTTTTTTTTTTTACTATTGAGGTAATGCTGACCTTGTAAAATGAGTTTGAAAGTGTTCTCTCCTCTTCAATATTCTTGAGTTTGAGAAGGATCAATGTTAGTTTTCCTTTAAATGTTTGAAAGAATTCACCAATAAAGCCATTAGGTCCTTGGGTTTTCTTTGCTGGGAGGTCTTCAATTGTTGATTTAATCTTCTTACTTGCTATTATTGTGATCATATTTCCTATTTCTTCATATTTCAGACTTGACAGTTTGTATATTTTTAGGAATTTATCCATTTTTTTTTTGAGATAGAGTCTCGCTCTGTTGCCCAGGCTGGAGTGCAGTGGTGCAATCTTGGATCACTGCAAGCTCAAATTTATCCATTTTTTTAGTATTCAATTTGTTGGCATGTAACTGTTCACAGCAGTCTCTTTGATCCTTTGTATTTCTGGGGTATCAGTCGTAATGTTTCTCATTTACAATTTTAATTATTCGAGTCTTTTCCCTCCTACTTATTCTAGGTAAAAATTTGTCAATTTTGTTTGTTCTTTCAAAAAAACCGTATCTTGGTTTTATTGATCTTTTTATTGTTTTTCTAGTCTCTCTTTCATTTATTTCTGCTCTGTCTTTCATTATTTCCCTTCTTCTGCTAACTTTGGGCTTAGTTTGCTCTTTTTCTAGTTCCCTCAGGTATAAATTTAAGTTGTTGATTGGAGGTTTTTCTTTTTTCTTACTGTAAGCATTTATTGTTGTAAACTTTCCTCTTTGAACTGCTTTGGCTGTATTCTATAAGTTTTGTTATGTTGTGATTTCCATTTTCATTTGTATAAAGATTTTTTTTTAGTTTCTTTTTTGATCACTTGGTTGTTCATCAGTGTGTTGCTTGATTTCCACATATTGTGAAGATTCAATTTTTCTCCCTTTATTGATTGGTCAGTAATGGTGCTCAATATAATCTCAATCTTCTTAAATTTCTGAAGACTTGTTTTATTGCCTAACATATGATCTGTCCTGGAGAATGTTTCATGTGTGCTTGAGAGTAATATATATTCTGCTGCTGTTGGATAGAATGTTCTGTATATGTCTTTTAGGTCCATTTGGTCTACAGTGTTGTCAAAGTTTGCTGTTTCCTTACTGATTTTCTGTGTGGATCATCTATTCATCATTAAAAGTAGAATGCTGCTGAAGTTTCCTATTATTATTGTATTGCTTTCTATGTCTCCTCTCTATTCTCTTAATATTTGCCTTATATATTTAGGTTCTCAAATACTGAGTGCATATACATTTACAATCATTATATTGTCTTAATGAATTGACCCCTTAATCATTTTATAATGGCTTTCTTTGTCTTTTGTGACAGTTTTTTTTTTACTTCAAGTCTATTTTGTCTGATATAACTACCCTGATCTCTTTTGCTTACCATTCACATTGAATATCTTCTTTTTCCATCTCTTCACTTTCAGCCTGTGAGTCCTTAAAACTAAAATGAGTCTCTTGTAGGCAGCATATTGCTAGATCTTGATTTTGTTTATCCATTTCATTACTCGAAGTATTTGATAGGAGAATTTAATCCATTTATATAAATAAATTATTGATAGGTATGGATTTACTATTGCCATATTATTAATTGTTGTCTATTTTGTAGTTCCTTTGTTCTTTTCTTCTTCTCCTGCTGTCTTCCTTTGTGATTTGATAACTTTTTAAGAGTGGTATGCTTTGATTTCATTCTCTATCTCTTTTGTATCTACTACAGGTATTTATTTTTGTGGTTACCATAAGGCTTACATAAAATATCTTATAATAGTCTGTTTTAAGCTGATACTAACTTGACTGCATACAAAACCTCTACACTTTAACTTCTCACCCACATTTTATCTTATTGATGCTATAATTTACATAATTGAATTTTGTTTATTGCTTATTCACTTACAAATTATTGTAGCTATAGGTATTTTTAATATTTTATCTTTTAACTTTTATCCTAGAGTTAACGGTGATTTATGAACCACCATTACAATATTAGAGTATCTAAATTTGATGATTTTTTACTTTTACAGAGAGTTTTATACATTCATAGGTTTTCATGTTGTTAGCATTAATTTCAACTTGAAGAAATCACTTTAGCATTTCTTTTAAACAAGTCTAGTGATGTTTCATAAGTCCCTTAGACTTTCTTCAGTCTTTTTCTTTTATTTTATAACTTGTTCCTCTGACTAAATAATTTTAAATGACTTGTCTTTGAGCTTGCTAATTATTTCTATGCTTGATTGAGTTTGCTGTTGAAGCTCTTTATGGCTTTTGTTTTCTTCAATTCAGTCATAGTATTCTGCAAATCCAGAATTTATGCTTGCTTCTTTTTTATTGTTTCTATCTCTTTATTGAACCTCTCATTTTCTTCATGTATTATTTTCTTAATGTTGTTTAGTTGTGTATCTGGATTCTCTTGTAGCTCACTGAGTTTCTTTTAGATGATTATTTTGAAATCTTTCTCAGGTGATTTGTAGATCTCCATTTCTTTAAGGTCAGTTATTGGTGACTAATTTTGTTCTTTTGCTGGTGTCATGTTTTCCTGATTATTCATGATCCTTTTGGTCTTATGTCGATGTTTGTTTGAAGAAGCAGGCACTTCTTCCAGTCTTTACAGATTGGCAAGCCCTTCACCAGTAAGCTGTTTAAGAGATTCTGGGCAGGTTGGCTAGTGGGGTCTATGGAAAGCTTGCTTTTGGAATCCTTGGGCAGCTAGCCTGGTACTTGGGTGAGTAGGTGGGTGCGCCTAGTGCTTGTAATGTTGGGCATGGAATCTGAGTCCACTGGAGTGTGCCTGGATCATGGATCCACTAGAGCCTGGGGCTGTGGGGGCCGGCATGGAGTTGTGGTGGGCTTAAAGCCTGAGTCCACAGGTGCCATCTTCATTCCTGAGGCTATAGAAGCTGGTGTAGAGCTTGAGCTACATGGGATAGCTGGGTGGGCCTGAAACCTGGGACCACAGGGTTTGGCCTGGAGCCTGGGGCTGCAGGCAATAGCTCAGAGCCTGAGGTATGGTGGTTAGCCTGGTGCTGGGAAAGACCTGGAGCCTGGGGCCAAAGGGGTTGGCCTGGCCTAGCATTGGGCCTGGATGCTGAGTCTGTGGGCAGGGACTGGAGATTCAAGGTAGAGGGGTGCTCATGCCTTCTGCTGGCTCTGTGGTGAAGCTGTGGGTATTATTTCATAGTCCTTTTCCCGTGCAGAGGGTACCACTTTTCATCCTACCGTCTTAAATGCATATTTTTTTGTTTATGTGCTCTACTCAGGTTCTATAATCTCTCACTTGGATTCCTTAGCTCTTATAAAGATATTTTTGTGCATAGATAATTGTTCTAATTGATGATTTTAGGAGAAGGTGTGTGCTGGAAAGCCTTATTCCACCATCTTGCTGATGTCACTCTGGCAAGGACTTAGTTTTTTAAGTCTTATGTGTAAAATGAGAATAATAAAGGTAGTAATCTAATGGGATTGTTATAAAGACTAGAAGAGGCAAAGTGTTTTGCACAGTGCCAGGTGTATATATAGGGAGCTCTCTGTAAAGGTTGGCTGTTATTGTGAGTCTACCTCATTCCTTGTTAGCTCTCTGAACCTGGCAGGGGAACAATGAATAAGTCTGTAGTTGTTGAGATAGCTCCTGAAAGAAGATGGGTTCCTCACTAACACAGGGGCCTTTTTAAGAAGCAGAAAGAGAAAAAGAAAAGACAATCAAAATGACTGCTATTATATCTGTGTCTACATATACAGAATACTGCATCTATATCTCTATCTTCAGAAGCAAAGGGCTGACCCCTGCCAAAAAAGTTCATGGCATTAAAAGGCTGAATAGTAAGGTGAGATAAAAATTTTGAACTTTTTATTAATTTATCTCCCCTAAAACTTTTTTTGATGCATTTTCCCTATTTAAAATATTATAAAAGCGATGATGCCTACATAAAATTCTCATATATGTATACACCCGAAATTTCCATAAGTAGATGTATATGGACACATTCTGAGTAGACATATGCTGACACATTGATAACCATAACAATTCATGGACCCAGTGTTAAAAAGCACTACATTGGACATGAAGGATTATTTATGTAGTTCTCCCTTTATGCATTCTGAAATTTTTTGTTTTTACTTTAAAAAAATTCTACTTCCATTCTTCTCAGAAAGCTTGAAAAAATGAATATAAATCACTATGATATCACCATTAAAATGGCCAATGACTTTTTCTTCACAGTTTAGAAAATATTATACTAATAGAATTTAGGAGAAAATTAGTTTTAAGATGTGGTACAACAGAAGCAGAAAATGATACTCAGAGAACAATGCCATATATAAAGACTCTCGAGCTCAGCTGTGAGCACATTGGAACTGTATTTATGAAAGCCCTGAGAATTTTGTACAGGGAAGGTCAGAGAGTGTGATGGTCCTTCCTCTAGCTGGAATGGGTAGAGGGGACAGCACTGAGGGGAGCTCTGAGGTCTCTTCTGAAGTTTTTAGGAGCGGTGAGATCTGTGAATAGTTCAAAATCTTCTCCCAGATTTGGAGCTCTGTCAAAATCTTTGTGACTATGAAGACAGAGTAGGTGGAGAGAACCTAGTGCCTTGGGGTTCATTCCTTATGGCTGAGGAGTCTCTACCTCATCTGTAGTACTTGCTGCAATGTGGGGGTGAGGTCAGATAAAGAATTATGTGGAATGAACAGAGATTTCTCCTTATGTTCTGCCCTTCTGCTGGACTATTTCATTAGGTGCTCTATTCCTTTCTGTTGGCTTCCCACATCCCCAAATTCTCGGCCCTGTGCTTACGATGTTGAGTACAACTCTTCCTACACCTAGGAGCTCTAATTGGATTCAATGTCTAGTGTCTACTCCACAGACGTGAAGTTTCAGCTCTTCATTCTTTCATCCATAAATTTAAAATGAGAGTGAACTCTAAATTAAGAAGCTGAATCTCTAATATGGAAGTTGATTGAAAACATTGTATGGTCATTTATAAACTAATTTTTTATGGCTAAATTTACTCTTGGGAAATTGAAAATTATTAACTGCAAATCCAATATGCTACTGTGAATAAAATGATAACCAAAGATTTTATTTTATTATTTCATGAGGGCTATTTGGATCTGTAATGCAAGAAGCATTTCAAAGTTTGGACTGTGCTTTAAAAAAGTTGCCAAGTATGTTAAATTGTGCACTTAGTTTTCAATGTGGAGGAACAAATCCCAGATTCAATAATTCAATGAACTAACACAATTCTTCAGAGCTTTAAGTGTATTTGCAATTAAGACACTAATTGCTGTTCATTGGCTGATTCTTTCCCCAGAAAGCTTTGTTCTTCTGCAAAAATGCAAAGTCTTACTATTGATCTGTACTCTCAAAACCCTGTTGATTTAAGCAGGACTCTCTGAGGTGAGAACAACAACAAAACCAAGAGACTTAATTTACTCAGCTTGGGTTTCAGGAAACATATCTAATAGCAGACAGTTCCTGTTTTCATTGTTTTCCATTTAAGTCCCTGCAAAATCAGATTGTCTTCAAATAGATGCTGCTGCCATTGGTATAAGACTCATTTTCACATCCCTAAAGAAATAAAGAGTTTTGTAAAAATTCACTCGTTTAATGGGGCCTCACGTATAATGGGCCTAAGTCAAGCCAAAAGGATAAAGATGGATATCGTGCAAAAGCAGTGATAGAATGACAGCACCAAAGATGTAAAATGTATACTCTTTAGACTCTTTAATGTAGCCCTCAATCACCAAGGAATAATTGCAGGTGGATGGAGGTGAAAAGGAATTTCCTTTGAGAGCAATTCTATTTTGTCTGTTTTGGAAGCTTAATACAGGTTGGTATTAAAAACTTCTGAGGAAAGAAAGCAGGGGATGTAGTTTGAGAAAACTACTACCTGTGATTGTTCTCATTGTTTGGAAAGGTCCTGGGCTTGGCTGTTTTCCTGGAGTTTTGCCTGGAAAGAGATAAATTCTGACCAATCATTAATAATGCTAATGATAATAATAATAATGATGATGACTAATGTTTATTGAGCACATAGTATGTGTTACAGGTAGGTTATACACTAAGCATTATATGTACATATGTATATCGTTTATACATATAATATATATAAAATCTAAGTTAATATAGCAACAGTTCATAATGGTTTGAATTAATGCTTTCATCCTCAATGGCTGCATAGTGTGATGGTTAAAAGAAGCTACAGGATTTTATTTATTTCTTCTTCCACCTCCAATTAACTATGTGACCTTAAGTAAGTTTCTCTCTGAATCTTGGTTTATTAATCTATATAATGGCATAATAAGACCTATCTCATTGGGTTTTGTGAGGATAAAATAATGCTATCCAGTGGCAGAGACAGACGAACCACCCTGCAATACAGTATGATTAATAGGATATATTGAACGGTGCTCAGAGCACTTGCAGGAGGACTTTCTGTTCTCACGGGACTTTGGAAATGCAGGACTTTCTGGAGAAGCTGCCCTTTAAGTGGTAGCTTGAGTTACAGATGGGAGTAAGTCCTGAGAAAGTGAGGGAAGAGTGTTCCAGTTTGAAGGAGTAGAGTGTTCTTGGGGAATTGC